>NC_000006.12:48847878-49150909 GCF_000001405.40 Homo sapiens
AGATGATCTTGTTGATATATTGTCGTATTCATTTAGTTAGTATTTTGTTAAGAATTTTAGCATCTATGTTCATCAAGGATATTGGTCTGTAGTTTTCTTTGTTGGTTGTGTCCTTTCCTTGTTTTGGTTTTAGGGTGATGCTTGCTTCATGGAATGAATTAGAGAGGGTTCCTTCTTTCTCTATCTTTGGAATATTGTCAAAGGATTGGTACCAATTCTTCTTTGAATGTCTGGTAGAATTCTGCTGTGAATCTGTCTGGTCCTGGACTTTTTTTTTGTTGGCAATTTTTAAATTCCCATTTCAATCTCACTGCTTGTTATTGGTCTGTTCAGGGCATGTAATTCTTCCTGATTTAAGCTAGGAGGGTTGTATTTTTCCAGGAATTTATCCATCTATTCTAGGTTTTCTAGTTTATGTGCATAAAGGTGTTTGTAGTAGCCTTGAATGATCTTTTGTATTTCTGTGGTGCCAGTTGTAATATCTCCTGTTTCGTGTCTTAGTAAGGTTATTTGGATATTCTCTCTTCTTTTCTTGGTTAATCTTGCTAATGGTCTATCAATTTTATTTATCTTTTCAAAGAACCAGTTTTTTTTGTTTCATTTATCTTTTGTTATTCGGTTTGTTTGTTTCAATATCATTTAGTTTTGCTCTGATCTTGGTTATTTCCTTTCTTCTACTGGGTTTGGGTTTGGTTTGTTCTTGTTTCTTAAGAATATATCTAACAAAGGAGGTAAAAGACCTCTACAATGAAAAATGCAAAACTGCTGAAAGAAATGATAGATGACACAAACAAATGGAAACACATCCCATGCTCGTGGATGGGTACAATCAATATTGTTAAAATGACCATACTGCCAAAAGCAACCTACAAATTCAATGCAATCGACATCGAAATACCATAATCATTCTTCCCAAAGTTAGAAAAAACAATTCTAAAATTCATATGGAACCAAAACAGAGCCCGTATAGCCAAAGCAAGACTAAGCAACAAGAACAAATCTGGAGACATTACACTACGTGATTTCAAACTCTACTATAATGTCATAGTCACCAAAACAATGTGGTACTGGTATAAAATAGGCACATAGACCAATGGAACAGAATAGAGAACACAAAAATAAACCCAAATACTTACAACCAACTGATCTTCAACTAAACAAAATCATAAAGTGGGGAAAGGATACTCTTTTCAACAAATGGTGATAGGATAATTGGCTAGCTGCATGTAGGAGAATGAAACCGGATCCTCATCTCTCACCTTATACAAAAATCAACTCAAGATGGATTAAGGACTTGAACCTGATACCTGAAACTATAAAAATTCTAGAAGATAAATCAGAAAAACCCTTCTAGACATTGACTTAGGCAAGAATTTCATGACCAAACCCAAAACAAATGTAATAAAAACAAAAATAAATGGCTGAGACCTAATTAAAGTAATGAGCTTTTGCATGGCAAAAGGAACAGTCAGCAGAGTAAACAGACAACCCACAGAGTGGGAGAAAATCTTCACAATCTATACATCTGAACCAGAGTACAACAAATTCAGACAAATCAGTTAGAAAAAACAAACAATCCCATCAAAAAGTGGGCTAAGAACATGAATAGACAATTCTTAAAAGATATACAAATGACTAATAAACATGAAAAAATGTTCAACATCATTAATGATCAGGGAAATACAAATCAAAACCACAATGCAATACCGCCTTATTCCTACAAGAATGGCCATAATCAAAAATGCAAAAAATAGTAGATGTTATCATGGAAGCGCTGAACATGGAACATGTCTACACTGCTGGTGGGAAAGTAAACTAGGACAGTCACTATGGAAAACAGTGTGGAGATTCCTTAAAATACTAAAACTAGAACTGCCATTTGATCCAGCAATCTCACTACTGGGTATCTGCCCAGAGGAAAAGAAGTCATAATTTGAAAAAGGTACTTGCACATGCATGTTTATAGCAGCGCAATTTACAATTGCAAAATAGTGGAACCAACCCAAATGTTTATCAATCAATAGCGGATAAAGAAATTGTGAGATGTGTGTGTATGTATATATGTATATATACATACACACACACACACACACACACACACACACACACACACACACACACACACTGGAATACTACACAGCCATAAAAAAGGATGAATTAACAGCATTTGCAGTGACCTGGATGAGACTGGAGACTATTATTCTAAGTGAAGTAACTCAGGAATGGAAAACCAAACATCGTATGTTCACACTGATATGTGGGAGCTAAGCTATTCCTATGCTAAGGCGTACAAATGATACAATGGACTTTGGGGACTTGCAGGGGAGAGGGGGAGGGAAGCAAGGGTTAAAAGACTACAAATATGGTTCAGTGCATACTGCTGAGGTGATGGGTGCACCAAAATCTCACAAATCACCACTTAAGAACTGACTCATGTAACCAAATATCACCTGTATCCCAATAACTTATGGAAAAATAAAAAAAAAACATTTTTCTTTATGAGCTATTTACAGCTCATAGTACGTGGGTAATGTCTACTTTTGTGAACAAAATATAAACATTTGCCTTTCTCTCTACCTGTTTTGTTAAGAACTTCAAAATTATTTGTAAGTATTTTGTTTTAATTGGGGTCTTTCTTTGTTACCTAGGCTAAGGTGCTGTGGTGCAATCATGGCTCATAGCAGCATCAAACTCCTAGGCTCAAATGATCTTCTCACATCTGTCTCCTGAGTAGTTGAGACTACAGTTGCATGCCACCATGCCTGGCTAATTTTTTTTATTATTATTTTTTATTTTTTAGAGACAGTGTCTCACTATGTTACCTAGGCTGATCTAAAACTCCTGGACTTGAGCAATCCTCCTGCCTCAACCTCCTGAGTTGCAGAGATTACAGGCATGTGCCACTGCACCTACCTCTTTTAAAATTTATTTTTAGAGGCAGGGTCTTACTCTGTTCCTCAGGCTGGAATACAGTGGCAGGATCATAATTCACTGCATCCTTGAGTTCCTGGGCTTGAGTGATCCTCCTGCCTCAGCATCCCAAGGAGCTAGGACTATAGGCACAGGCCACCATGCCCAAACAGATATATTTTTAATTTTTTGTAGAGATATGGTCTCACTGTGTTTCCTAGGCTGGTGTCAAACTCCTAGCCTCAAGTAATCCTCCCACCACAGCCTCTCAATGAGTTAGGATTACATACATGAGCCACTGCACCTGGCTCAGTATTCTTAATTCATGGCAACATGTTTATTTGCATAAGCTCAATAATCTGTTTTCTTTTGTAATAGAACACATTTGGTATATTAGTTTTCACACTACTAATAAAGACATATCTGAGACTGAGTAATTTATAAAGAAAAAGAGGATTAACGGACTCACAGTTATGGCTGGGAGGCCTCACAATCATGGCAGAAGGCAAAGGAGGAGCAAAGGCACATCTTACATGGTGGCAGGCAACACATTATATGCAAGGGAACTTTTCTTTTATGAAATAATTAGATCTCATGAGACTTATTCACTATTACTAGAACAGCACGGGGAAAAACCCACCCCTTTGATTCAGTTACCTCCCATTGGTTCCCTCCCATAACATGTGGGAATTATGGGAGGTTCAATTCAATGTGAGATTTGGGTGGGGACACAGACAAACCATGTAATTCTGCCCTTGGGCCCTCCCAAATCTCATGTCCTCACATTTCAAAACCAATCATGTCTTCCCAATAGTCCGCCTAGTCTTAACTCATTTCAGCAATAATTCAAAAGTCCCCAGTCCAAAGTCTCATCTGAGACAAGACAAGTCCCTTCCACCTAGGAGCCTGCAAAGTCAAAAGCAAGTTAGTTATTTCCTGGGTATAATGGGGGTACAGGCTTTGGATAAATACACCTGTTCCAAATGGGAGAAATTTGGCCAAAATGAAAGGGCTACAGGCCCCATGCAAGTACAAAATCCAGCAGGCAGTCAAATCTTAAAGCTCCAAAATAATCTCCTTCAACTCCATGTCTCACATTCAGGTCACACTGATGCAAGAGGTGGGTTTCCATGGTCTTGGCCAGCTCTTCTCCTGTGGCTTTGCAGGGTAGAGCCCCCTTCCTGGTTGTTTCATGGGTTAGTGTTGTGTGTCTTGGCTTTTGGAGGCACATGATGTAAACTGTCAGTGGATCTACCATTCTGGGGTGTGGAGGACTGTTGCCCTGTTCTTAGAGCTCCACTAGGATGGGCCACAGTGGGGACTCTGTGTGTGGGCTCCCACCCCACATTTCCCTCTGCACTGCCCTAGCAGAGTTTCTCCATGAGGGCTCTATCCCTGTTGCACACCTCTGCCTGGACATCCAAGCATTTCCATAGATCCACCAAAATCTAGGAGGTGGTTCCCAAATCTCAATTCTTGACTTCTGTGCACCTGCAGGCCCAACACCACATGTAAGCCACCAAGGCTTGGGGTTTGCATCCTCTGAAGCAATGGCCTGAGCTGTATGTTAGCCCCTTTTAGCCAAAGCTGGGATGCAGGGCACCAAGTTTTGAAACTGCACAAAGCAGCAAGGCCCCGGGTCTGGCCTACAAAAATTATTTTTTTCCTCCTAGGCCTCCAGGCCTGTGATGGGAGGGGTAGCTGCAAAAGTCTCTGACATGCCCTTAAGACATTTTCCCTATAGTCTTGGAAATTCACATTTGGCTCATTGTTACTTATACAAATTTCTGCAGCTGGATTGAATTTCTCCCCAGAAAATGTGTCTTTTTTTTCTAGTGCATTGTCAGGCTGTGAATTTTCTGAACTTTAAGCTCTGCTTCCCTTTCAAACGTAAGTTCCAATTCCAAACGATATATTTGTCAATACATAAAACTGAAAGCTTTAATAGCACCCAAATAATCTCTTGAATGCTTTGCTGCTTAAAAATGTCTTCCTCCAGATACCCTAAATCATCTCTCTAAAGTTCAAAGTTCCACAGATCTCTAGGGAACAGGCAAAATGTCACCAGTCTCTTTGCTAAAGCATAACAAGAGTCACCTTTGCTTTAGTTCCCAAAAAGTTTCTCATCTCCATCTGAGACCACCTCACCTTGGACTTTACTGTCAATATCACTATCAGCATTTTGGTCGAAGCCATTCAACAAGCCTCTAGGAAGTTTTAAACTTTCCCACACCTTTCTGTCTTCTTCTGAGCCCTCCAAACTGTTCCAACCTCTACCTGTTAGCCAGTTCCAAAGTCACTTCTGCATCTTCAGTTATCCTTACAGCAGTGCCCCACTATCTGGCACCAATTTACTGTATTAGTTTGTTCTCATGCTGCTAATAAAGACATACCCAAGACTGGGTAATTTATAAAGTAAAAGAGGTTTAATGGGCTCAGCTCCACATGACTGGGAAGGCCTCATAATCATGGTGGAAGGAAAAGGAGGAGCAAAGGCATATCTTACATGGTGGCAAGTAAGAATATATATGCAGGGGAACTCCCCTTTTATGAAACCATCAGATCTCAAAAGACTTCATCACTCTTACAAGAATAGCATAGGAATGACCTGCCACCATGATTCAATTACCTCCCAAGGGGTCTCTCCCATGATACATGGGAATTATGGGAGCTACAACTCAAGATGAGATTTGGGTGAGGTCAGAGCCAAACCATATCAATTGAATGCACTGCTTATTTTACCAAGATTTTGACTGAAAAGACATATTTTCAGATTTGATCAGACTGCTTTGAGGAATTGAAGTTTCTTTATGGAGATGATAAAAAGCCCCTTCGTTAGCCCAGCATGGTGGTGGATGCTTGTAGTCCTAGGTACCTGGGAGGCTGTGGCAGGAGAATCACCTGACCCCAGAAGATCGAGGCAGCAGTGAGCTATGTTTATGCCACTGCACTCCAGCAGCCAGGTAATAAAGCAAGATCCTGTTAAAAAAACCAAAAGCAAACAACAACAACAACCACAAAAATACCTTGGAAACATGGGTTTGCATAGTTCCCTTGCAAGGTCCCTTATAAATAATGTCACGTTCTGACAAGCCTAGGAGCCTAAAGATATTTACAAATATGGGCACAGTCTGATGGCAAATCCTTGTCTCAACTGCCTAGCTTCAAGAGGGTTTTAAAAGTCTAATCTGAGACTTCTTATAAAAAATTTCCACAAACCACCTTTAAAAAGTCTATATGGGCTGGACATGGTGGATCATGGTGGATCACCCCAGAAGTTTTGGAGGCCAAGGGAGGAAGATCACTTGTGGCCAGTAATTTGATACTAGCCTGGGCAACATAGAGAAACCCCATATCTAAAAAATACAATAAACTATCTTAAAAGCCTATATGGCCAATCAATCTTTTTGTTGCAACAGTAAGAGTGATTGCCCATATAGGCTTTTAAACAATAATCATGTCAAGTAAGATACCAAAACTTATTTTATAAATAAATTGATCCTATTAAAATGTATCTTTAATAGAAATGGGGAGCTAGAGAGAGAAAAATTTTATTTCAGCAGAAAACTGCTGTGTGTCTTTTATTAGATTCTAGCCGTTACCATTGTTTTTGAGATTTTATTATTTTCCTACAGTTGAGACTAGATCCTAAATTATTTCCTGGCTACAATACATCTCTATAGGACTATATTTTAATTTTTTAATGATGTTTTTAGTTGACTTCCAAATGGAAGAGAATTTTTTTCATTCTGTCATACAAATTCTCTTTTGATTAGAATTGTTCTGTGCATTATATCTCTACCATGTACCTCTTGTTTTTTACTTCATCCAAGAAAATTAACTCGTGGTATTCCAAAGACTGGAGATGATTCAACAAATGACAGCAGCTGTATGAATTAGTAACTTTTCTGAGTTCTCATTTTTGCCACCTTGTTATGTCATCCCAATTCAAATTTTGGTGTTCTTAAAATTTCTAACTGAGATGTATTCTCTCCCTCTTACTCCCTCACCATGAGATGGGACCATTCAGAAATTAGCCTTCCTAATGACACAAAACTAAGTTCCTAAATAAAAAAGGAGCCAAAATCATTTGAGTTCATCCAGTATGCTTTCTTTGAAAGATCCTGATAAAAAGGGATGAAACTAAAAAAAAATATCAATTAGCTGGGCCTGGTGGCATGCATCTGTAAATCCAGTTGCTTAGGAGACTGAGCAGAATTGCTTGGACCCAGGAGGTGGAGGTTGCAATGAGCTGAGATCGCGCCACTGCACGCCAGCATGGGCAACAGAGCAAGACTCTGTCTTGAAAAAAAAAAAAAGAAAAGAAAAAAGTAATCACCAAAAAGAAAAATATCTCAGAGTAATCTGAGCTATCAGAGGTATGTACAATTTATCAGGCCCAAAGACAAGAGTATGGAACTTCGGTCACACCCCCTGCTCTCACGCCTGTGGAGCAAATCCTTAAAATTATTTTTGTGCTTGACTAGCTGCCTCACTCATTATCTCCATGTTTCTGGGATTTGTGATATAAAGAATAATGTATAGCCAATCAATAGCTTATGTTATTTCCAGGGGAATTGCTTGAACCCAGGAGGCAGAGGTTGCAGTGAGCCAAGATCCTGCCACTGCACACCAGCTTGGGTGACAGAGTAAGACTCCATCTCAAAAAAAAAGAAAAGAAAAAAATTGTATATGTTATTTTAATGAAACTTCTTGGTAAACAGCTTAGGAACTGTCTCTCCTTTTTCCTTAAAATGCACTTATAACTGCTGCTAGTCAGAGTGTATATTCATGGAAACTTGAATATATGTTGCTGGATGGCTATCTTTAAGCTTTGGGCTTGAATAAACTCTATACTTTGTGATATTCTATAAATTTAATTATTTAAGTTTGACAACACCTAAATCATTGATTTAAATGTGTCTTACTTCCTCTTGCTGCTTAAGTTTTATGTGGTTTACAGATTACATGTAGTCAAAAGGTACAGTAACTCAAAAATCTCACTATGCACAGTTAGGCTCTTCAAGTTTAGCTTTCCTTCTAGTTTCTGACTTTTTTTTTTTTCTGGGCTTACTTGTATCTCCCATCCTGTTTTATAATAATAAATTGTTAGATCTTTATCTGAAATTCTGGACAGGGGTATTCTAAAGTCCTTGGAATTTTCTGAGTGATAAGAGTTTATTTTTTAAGTTAGTGAGGTGACTAATGATGTATCCATAAATAGCTACAGGATGGGGGCTGATCACTACAGAGACCAACCATGTAGCGCCAGGGTTGGTTCTTGACCATTTATCTCTGGGGAGGGGAAAGGGGATAGAGATTGAGCTCAGTCACATAGCCAATAATATAATCAATCATGCCTACATAATCAAACCTCAATAAATTTTGAGACACAAAGTCTAAATAGAGCTTCCTGGTTGGTGAGCACACTGATGTGTTGAGAGAGTGATTCTACAAGAAGAAGGAATGGAAGTTCTGCATTTCCTCCCCGATCTCATTCTATGCATCTCTTCACTTAGTTGGTTCTTGTGATTGTGCACTTTGTAACAAAACTGTAATTGTGAATACAGCAGTTTTCCTGAGTTCTGAAAGTCATTCTAGTAAATTAAACCTGAGAGAGTCATAAGAACCTACAAATTTACAGCTTGTCAGTCAGAAATGCAGATGGCCTAGGAACCCCTGATGAGTGGCTGGAATTTGAAACAAGGGTAGCCTGGTTGGGAACTGCCTGCTTTAACTTATGGGGTTTGCAGTAACTCCAGGTGGTTAGTACCATAATTGAATTGTGATGCACTCAGTTGGGGTTGAAACAGAATACATGTATATACTAGCTACTATTCAAATATATTATTCATATTTTAGATTTCCTCCCTTCTACAGCTGCCTCATTTTCAGAATCCTCTCTTTTTAAGTTTCCAGCTGTCCTACTGCTCTAAGTCCTGTCATCTTCCCCATGATCCAGTTTCCCACAGGAAGAGTTAGAGAGTGGGAGTGGTGGGTCCTTGAGTGCCTCATGAGAAAAAAAACAGTAAGCCCACAGTTTTTGTAGAAGCAGTAGCACTCTCTTCATAATAATCTCCTCTTATTTTCCTCTCACTTTTTCTTGGGTCACTTTCCATTACCTTCAAATATTTGTTTTAACACTTTTGCCCAGTTTCTATAAGTGTTTTTTCTAGGAAGAATTGTCTAAGGTCTTCATGTCATTTATTTACACCATCAGAAATAGCAGGAACAATTTCCAGAAACCTGGTTATTCTTATCCAATTTTTTTTTCTTTTCTATTTGCAAGCTACTTCTATGTTCCCCTATACTTAATTTTTCAAAAGACTAATAAATATTTAGGATTTCTAAAAATGAATGCTAGAAAACAGGAATGGTGGACAAAGTTTGCAATAGAGGAGGACATTCTATCCATGGAGATCACTCACTAAGTTGCCCAAACTCTGTCATCTCTTATTGTATCTTCTAAATAATTAAACAATGACCTTCCTCCTCTTTTGTCTAGATATTAACTTAGAATCACTGTGTCTGGAAGAATGGTTCTCGCTAGCTTTATCTGGCACAGAAATGGATGTGGGATGAGACAAATATAAATGTACTTAAGCATTAACTTTTCCCCACTTCATCAAAACTCTCCTTTTGGTAATTCTTTCAAACAAGTTTTCCAACACCATGGAGAGCAGCAGATAATAAAATTACATACAGAAAATTACTTAATGTTCCCTTAGTGTAGCTGAGTGTTCTTATTCTTGTTATATTGTTGTTATATTGTAGTTATGCATTTATAAGCATGTTTTTCATTATTGTTTTATAAAGTCAGTTTGAGTAGAATCCAGGTTTTACCATCTATATTTTTATAGCCCCTGAGACAGAGCAGCTAGCACTGAGGTGCAGAGAAGAAAGAAATAAGAAAAGGAAAGAAGAAAGGAAGGAGGGAAGGAAAAGGAGAGAAAAGCAAAGGAAAGAGAAAGCAATGAGCAGGATGAAGAATAATTGTCTTCAGATGAAAATCTGTAAAGAGTTTTGTTTCAATTATTTATTGCTGCATAACAAACTTTCTTAAAATATAGTGCCTAAAACCAATCAATAGTTAAATATTTATTTGCTCATGATTTTCAGTTTCTTCAGGACTCAGCAGAGACAGCTCATCTTTGCTCCATGTCTTCTTGGCTGAGGGCTTATTTGACGCTGGAGAACTCAAGATGGCTGCCCTCACCTGTCTGACACCTCAATTTGGACGTCTGGAATGGTTGGAAGCTGGCTGGACTATTCTCTCTTTTTTTTCTTCCATTCTCCATGGCTTCTTTATCTTTGTAGGACCTCTCTCCAGCAGGCTAGTTGTTTTTCTTGGCTATGTGGCTGTTTTCCAAGAAAAAAAAAAAAGCGGGACACTTCAAGACTTCTTAAGACTAAGGACTGAAAATCTCAGAATGTCATTTTTGGCATATTCTATGAATCAAGAGAAGTCACAGGGCCAGCTTGGCTTTAAAGAGAGGAGTAAAAGATTCTCATCTCTTGCTGGGAAGAACAGCATGTACACGCCAGTATGGGAGGATCTGTTAACAGCTGCCTTTGAGGACAATCTACTACAGTGTTAACAGCCTATTACTGGAGTATCATAGAAAACTATTTCGAAAATTTAACTTAGAAACTATAACTCAGCATGCCTAGTTCATTAGTAGTTCCTAGTTCATTACTTTTTAAAGAGCACATTATAATATTTGCTTTAATACTTCAGCTTTGACTAAAAATTGTTAATCAAATGTGTCCTGAAACCATTTCAGATCGCATATATTATGTCCAATGGCATCCATAAACGCTTACAGATAAACTATAAAGTGTTGTAGATAAATTGTGAATTACCATATCTATATAAAGCTAATCACAAAACTAGATGACCAATGATTGAAACAGGGAGCTAATGTATAGAAAGTACACAGATAGTCCTTCTTTCCTTCTAAGCTTACAACCTTAGCCTATTTTTCTGTAGCACAGAGCTAGCTGAAGGGTTGTGTGAAAGATCATTTTAATTGTAATAGCATTTGTTTTGTTTTGAAATGTAAGCTATAATCAGATTGGTGTAGATGAATTTTGCCTATATTTAAATGGTGAGGTTTGTAACAGAAAACCTAAGATAAAAAATTGACATCATTTTTTCTCCTTTTATTGTTTCAGTTCATAGTAACAATAAAATTTGCTATATCAGTAAAAGGAACTGCACACCCCTAGGTTTTATAAAGATTTGTAAACATATGCTATGATAGATGCATTTCAATCATCAAATCAGCACTTCAGTCAGAACCAATATGATGTATTAAGATTGACTTTCTTTCATGAGCACATATACCATGAAGGTTCAGGGAATTTATCTAGTATAGAAGACTGTTAAAAGGGAGATGACAGCCCACGAATTAATATCCATTAGTGGTCATCCATATGGTGACAATGGATATTAGTTGTGGTTTTATTTTATAATTTAAAAGAGGATATTAGAAAAAAGTCTAGTAAATTATTTAAAATTGTTTTTGTTTCAGAAGCTTTTTAAATGAGATTTCTGGTGGTAATTTATAAAGATTAAAATATGCTCATTTAGAGGCTGTATTTAATAAGTTAAAGCCATTAAGAAATTAGAAAAGTCTGAACAGGCTATGTTGTCTCTGGTGATGTAAATGTTTATTAATATGTTTATTTTTAATACAAAAGGATTCTGCAGATAATTTTGTTAACTTCACTGTTTTTAGAATTCCACATTTATTAGGAAGATATTACTTCAAAGTAAAAGCTTATTCAACAACCTCGTTTACATTTTCCTTGCTTTTGGTAACCAAACCACTGAGCAAACAAAAAATAATAGGTTGATAGTACAGGCTATTTCTGCTTGGCTGCAATTGCCGGAATTTCTATTTCAACTCCTTTCCTCTCAGAGTGTTGCCACTAATGTGACAATCAATCCATCTGTGCTTCTAGTTATTAAAGAGAATCTGACAACCCCTTTAATCAATCACCTTGCTGTGAAAGGAAGTGGTGAGAAGGTTGAGGGGAGAGGTGAATTACCTCAAATCTAAGGTTGGTAATATTGTTTGCAGAGGGGAAGCACCCTGAGGAGTCTGTAACCTAGGGTGAGTTACTATTTGTCTCCTTCAATTTTTTCTTTATTTTGAAATGACCTTGAACACATATCAGATAATTCACACAGTCCCATGAGCAATAGCCTATTTCCTCAAAGCTTTTAGGGTAAGAAGCACATTAACTCAAGGTAATGCATTTTATTTGTAACTGCTTTCCACAGTTTAACTTTACTTAGCTTTTAGGTGACCTCTTAACCTATAATTTTTCAAAGAAAGTGTGTGTGTGTGTGTGTGTGTGTGTGTGTGTGTGTGTGTGTGTGTTTTGAAGCACCTTTCCAGCCAGGGGACCTGGATTTTCTTTTGACTTTTCATTTTCATTAGGACCCTAATCACAAGGAATCATGAATATACTTATTACCTGACCTTGGTAACTTAAATGCTCTCATTTG
Organism: Homo sapiens; assembly: GCF_000001405.40. Taxonomy (NCBI): domain Eukaryota; kingdom Metazoa; phylum Chordata; class Mammalia; order Primates; family Hominidae; genus Homo; species Homo sapiens. The sequence continues at coordinate 48,860,306 of NC_000006.12, forward strand.
GCTGTCATTGATTCATTGATACTACCCTTAACTGTCCATAAATAATTTTATCCACTCTAACCCCCAACACATAATTCTTACTGTAGATGTCCAAGTCTTCTTCATATTGCATATATAATCCATTTCAATTTTCACCCCCTGTATGTCTTCGCTTTTGCTATTCCCCTAGGTTTGCACTTGTCTGAACTCTTTTATTTATTACTCATGCAAAATGTGCCATTTCTCCAAAGTCCACCTCAGCCTTTCTAACATCACGATCTCTTCCGATGAACACCACAGCTTCCTATCCCCTCACAATATTTATTTTTTCTGAACTAAAGTAATTGAACTCGTTTAACAAATGATCATATAACGCTGTATTTAAGTTTCTTATGATATTATATCTGTCGGTTTGTCTTTCAAGGTTGTACATTTGCTGAAAATGAGGACTACATTCCTGTAACATATATTAGGGAATTAGGGTCCCCAGGGTGCTCTATAACTCTTTCCTGATTGATTTCTGCCAGTCACTTAATAATTAACAGAAAATAAATATTTTTTCTCACTATATTTGAGTCCATAACTTACTTTGAAGTGAAAAATGTCTTTCCTCCTATATGGTGGGCAAGAAGAGTTTAAATTTGTTTTTTTGTTGTTGTTGTTTTGTAATAGATCATATTTTAGACATATCACAGGCAAGATCATTTTGGCATATTTATAGATTTATTTATATTACTGCTTTTGTTTGCCACTATTGTTTTTTAAAATTTTTTGTTGTAGTTGTTTTTGTTTTTGAGACAAGATCTCACTCTGTTCCCCAGGCTAGAGTGCAGTGGTATGACAATGGCTCACTGCAGCCTCGACCTCCCAGGCTCAAGCAATCCTTCTACCTCAACCTCCTGCGTAGCTGGGAATACAGGCATGTGCCACAACATCTGACTAAATTTTCAATTCTTTGTAGCAATGGAGTCTTATTATGTTGCCCAAGCTGCTCTTGAACTCCTGGGAGCAAGTGATCCTCCCACCTCAGTCTCCCAAAGTTCTGGGATTACAAACATAAGCCACTGCACCCAACATGCTATTATTATAATGCCCTAATATTTGCTAGACTGTCTTAATTAAATGAAATTCCTATTCCATTATTGATATGCAAACATTTCAGTGGCTGTAACATCATAGCTTGATCTTTGCTGTTTCTATTAAAAAATGATTTTTATTGCGTATGGACAATAAGTTGGGATAAGAAGAACTCTGATCTAATTTTAATATTTGTGATTTAACCCACTCTAATTCTGATTCATATTTTCTCTTCTTATCAGGTCTATAAGACCATGAAATACACTAGCAAAACTGGTAAAAAATGACTAAAATAAAACTGTTCTCTAAGAGAAACACTTCACTCTAGGACATTATGCTATGGTAAGTAAGAAGTCTATTTAAAAATGTGATTGCCATAGCTCTCTAAGTAACGCTTCATAATATAAAAAGGCACTCTGATTTGCTTTTATAAAGCAGAATTTTTCTGGCAATAGGCAAACGGCAACACCAAACACAAAACTGCCCCCAAATTTAACATTCTAGTACCAAACTGAAAATATTACCTATTGCTTGTTTTTAAAAAGCAAATAGCTGTTAAAAGTAATTGTTTTATAAATGTAATTGAGAGCATTACTAAGAGTGGACAATAAAATGTATAGCTGATCACAAGCTTTATGTTTTTGGGTAACAGCCCCAGCTGATCACAAGCTTTATGTTTTTGGGTAACAGCCCCAGTTAACTCATATGGATGTCTACAATTAGACATTGATTGGCAGCTGATTGGTATGTGAAGGGACAGGGAAAGCTCATTTAATCAGAAAAATCATGTTGCTTATACTTCCAAATGAAACAATATTTGAGCAGGTTGAGTTCTTGGAATTGATTAGGAATTAGAGCAAATAAATAGAAAATTTCTCAGACAATTAAGATTTAATGAGGCCCTTCATCACCCCACTACACTAATGTGCTTGTCCTTGTTAACTTTGCCCTCCTTCTGCCCTCTATGCCTCATCAGAGTTTTAATAAATATGTGCCACTGCCCAGCTTTAGACTCTGCCACAGTGGTTCTCAAAATCCTCATAGGCATTGGTTGTGTCAATGTCCTCAGGTTAGAATTAAGTATCCATCTTTCTCTGGGTGTCCATGGTCCATTCTGATTATGGAAGTCCCTGCACGTTTTCTGTTTCCTTCCTGCTTTAAAATCTGCTTCTTCCTGAGATGGCTTGTGGGTACCTGCATGCCTTTCTTTCTCAAACGCATTGCTTACCTCCCTACAAAAATTTTTTCTGCCATTTTTTTTTTCTTGCACCGTAATTAGAACAAATAATTAAGTTCTTTTCTGGTGTTAGGGCACTAGCAAAAAATGACTCTGAAGCTATTTTCTTAATATGCATCTCCAAAGCGGATTCTGTCCTTCGGTGCAGATAGTTTTAGGCACAGATGGAAGCCTGGCTGTCTACCTTCAATATTTTGTCTTCCTGATTTAACACCCACTTCTGGAATGGTGATAGAGACCCTTGTTCTCTGTGGATTATAAAACTATGTCACGTCATGCTATTTTTCTACTAGTCAGTGGATAGATATCAGAAATTTTTTTTTTTCTTTAAATAGAGAAATCTGCCGGGCATGGTGGCTCACGCCTGTAATCCCAGCACTTTAAGAGACCGAGGCCGGTGGATCACGAGGTCAGGAGATCGAGACCATCCTGGCTAACACCGTGAAACCCCGTCTCTACTAAATATACAAAAAAGTAGCCAGGCATTGTGTCACGCGCCTGTAGTCCCAGCTACTCGGGAGGCTGAGGCAGGAGAATCGCTTGAATCCAGGAAGCGGAGGTTGTAGTGAGCCGAAATTGTGCCACTGCACTCCAGCCTGGGCGACAGAGCGAGACTCCATCACACACACAAAAAAAAGAGGAATCAATACACATGAACATGGAGGAAGTAAGGTGCTATAGAGAAGACTGCCTTAGATTTATTAAGCATCTTCCCATGTAAAGTTACATTAGGACTCAGAAACCCAATACCCCCCATATATGACATTTTGACATGCTGAACTAAAGAAGCCTCAAGGTCTTTCTGACCAACCTCCTTCACCATTTCCCCTAGAGAAGCTAAAAGGTTTTTTTTTTTGTTCGTTTGTTTGTTTTTTTGTTTTGTTTTTTTAATCTGCTAAGATTCAGACCCACTAAGGAAAACAATTATATTTTATTTCCTCTCCCTGTTAGTTCACTATCTACTGCAGATAGAAGACCAAGATGTGAGCACACCTCATCAGAACTTTTCACAAGTACAATAACTGTCTTTAAGGACTATTTAAATTTCAAAGACAACTGTTTCCAAGTTAATCTCTGTTCTCTGATCTAATCATTCTCCCTAGCAATTATTTATTGCCCCTCAATAGACTTCCTCTTCTCCTCCCTCCCATAACCTGCCTTACCAGGATAGATGTCGTCATTGTTTCTGTAACCTCCAAATGGTATGTAAGTTTCTGAAACTTACTGTGAAGTTGAATCTTTATTCTGAGGGCTCCTGTGTATACACGTTAAGCAAATTTGTGTGCTTTTTCTCCTATTAATCAATTTACTTCATCCCAGTGGTTTTTCGGTGAACCTTTAGGAGGGAATGGCTATGGCCTCTACAGTTGATATAATGAAATTTTCTTCAAGGATTAAGCCAGATGCCTCTCCTATGTCCTCTCTTTAAAGTGTGTCTTTGGAAACAAAACAATCCCAATGAGAGATACAACCTTTTATAATAGCATGATGGGTTCCTGTTCCCTGCTGCACAAATAGGGTCAATTCAGAGAAAGCAGTATTTCAATCAAGAAAGAGTTTAATAAACTCAGCTAGCCAAATGGAAAGACAGGAGTCTATTACTCAAGTCAGCCATCCCAAGAACTCTGAGGCTTTTATGGATAACTTGGTAGGCAGGGGGCTAGAGAATGGGTGCTGCTGATTGGTTGGGGTGTGGAAAATGGCCCTGATGCATTGAGTCAGCCTCTGGGTGAGGGCCACAGGACCAGCTGAGTCATGAGTCTTTGGTCCACATGGAGTCAGTTGTTCACCAGAATACAGAAGTCTAAAAAAAAAAAACCCTGAAAGACCAATCTTAGGTTCTACAATGGTGATGTTACCAATACAAACAATTGGGGAAGCTACAAATCTTGTGACCTCCAATGCAGTAAACAGTTATAGAAAAGCAAGCTATGCCTACATCTTAGCAGAATTCAGGCCTGTCCCATAATCCTAGTCTTGTGGACTTCAATAAATCTTACAAAAGTGGTTTCAGAACAAGGAGGGGGTCAGTTTTAGGGAGAAACTATTATTATCCTTGCTTCAAAGTTAAACTGTAAACTGAATTCCTTCTGTGGTTAGCTTGGCCTACTTCTAGGAATGAGTGAGGACAGCCAGCCTCTGAGGCTAGAAGCAAGATAGAGTCAGCCATGCTAGACTTCTCTCACTGTCATAATCTTTGCAAAGGTGGTTTTATTTCTATTTCTCGTATTTTCTGGTCTCTTGACAAGTTCTTTCATTCTCTGCAGAATTATTAAGCTAAGGCAATTTAATTCAGTAAATCCTTCTATCTTTTTATTAGCTATAACAAAGATTGTGGGGGGAGGTTGAATGAGCTTGCTAAATATTTCATGGATGGTGATTATGAGTGCTTTTCAATACTAAATTACTCTGGGGAGTTTTGGTGGATTTCAGTTATTAGTGGCTACTCTCTGAATGCTCTCTTACATTGAGTTTAGTTAGAAAACCAGAGGGAAAGGCATGCCTACATCTTAGAATTCAGTCTTGTTCCATAGTCCTACCCATTAGGATGGCCAGAATACAAAACACTGACAATATCAAATGCTAGTGAAGATGTGAAGCAACAGGAGCTCATGCATTGCTGCAGTCATACTCCTTAGTATCACCCAAATAATTTTAAAATGTATGTCCACACAGATAATGGCACACAAATGTTTATAGCAACTTTTTTCATAATTGCCAAAATTTAGAAACAACCAAAACTCCTTTTGATCAGTGAGTGGATAAACTATAGTACATTCATACAATGTAATAGTACACAGTGATGAAAAGAAATGTTATGAGATCACAGAAAGACATGGAAGAACATTGACTACATACTGGTAAGCAAAAAAAAAAAAAAAAAAAAAAAAGCCAGTCTGAAAAGGGTGCATTCCGTATGATTCCAGTTGTAAGAAATTCTGAAAAAGGCAAAACTATAGAGGCCATAAGAAGACCAGTGGTTGCTAGGGTAGCAAGGAGAAGGAAGGGATAAATAGGTAGAGCTTAGGGGATTTTTAAGGCAATAAAGCTCTTCTACATGATACTGTAATGGTGGAAACATGACATTATACATTTACCAAAACCCATAGAACTGTGCAACACAAAAGAGTGAACTGCAATGTAAACTATAAACTTTAGTTGATAATGTATTCATATTGGTTCTTCATTTGTAACAAATGTATCTCACTAATGCAGGATGTTAATAATAGAGGTCACTGTGTGCAGAGGGAGAGGCAGAGGCAGTATGTAGTTACTCTCTATACTTTCTGTTCATATTTTCTGTAAACCTCACACTGTAAGACATAAAGTCTATTAACTTTTAAAAAATGAGAGAGAAAAAGGAAAATAAAAAAGTTAGAAAAATATTGCCTATTGCCTCATCTCAGTGTGAAAAAACCATTGTTCAACAGTGAAAACTCAAGTGATAGATATATAGTTATTAGCTTGATTACAAAAGTGCACTTTAAAGTATAGTATAGTGACTAGTACCGAGTTTTTAAGGAAGAGGAGGAAACAAAAAACAGAGAAAACATTAATTTTATCATTGTTTACATTACGAAGTCTTTAGAGCAACTATAGATTAAATACATATACACACTATATATATGTGTGTGTGTATACATATGCTATATACTATGTGTGTTATATGGTAACATTACTGTATACACAAAATATAAAGTGATCACAAAGCTAACCCCTAGTATAAATATACTTATTTTCTTAAATATTAGATAATTCAAATACGTGTGTGTGCCTGTGCATACACACAAACATACACACACTACACAAAGAAATGAACCATATTAGGAAAAGATGATAAACATGATCCAAACAAAAAAATGACATGTCTTGTCTTATATAATCTAATGTAAATGGACTTACTTCCTTGATGAAAAATTGGATCACAAAACAAAATTCAATTCTTTCTATAAATAAAGGTCACCATCTAAGCAATGTGATTCTTAAAGGTTGAAAATAAAAGGAGTGGCAAGTACACTCCAAACAAATGCATTTTGAAGGAAAGCAGAGGCTGCAATCTTAATACCAGAGCAGGTGGAACAGCAAATTCATTTTGCATGGGAATAACAACGTGGTTGGAATTCTCCATCATATAAGAAGATCTATGGTAATTAAGATAGAGAATTTAGGCGCAGAGATAAACAACTATAGTAATTTAATGTAATATATAACCAAGATGCAGATACATGCATATGTAAAGGCTCGATTCATAACTGAGCTGCCACTGAAGTTTATTGGGGAAATGACTGACTCATCAATAAATTGTTCTGGGAAATTCTGCTATCTACTCTGGAAGAACAAATACCTCTTTCAAAAGGAAAAAATGCTCAAGTGTAAAAGGCAAATCTATAAACTTTATGAAGAAAATGTAAAAGATTATACATATACAATTAGAGCAAGAAGATGTGCTCTTTAACACAAGTGAGAAGAGCTGAAACCACTAAAATTAATTCACGAATTTAAATACATTAAAATAGAGAATTTGCTACTTATAAAAAAGTGAGTATTAAAACATGCCACCAACTGAAAGACATTTGAAAAAATAAACTTTTTAAATCATTGGAAAATAAAATAAGCTCCATTTTTCTAAAATGAAGTAAAGATTTCTATAGCACTTCACACAAAAGACAAGTGAATGGCCAATAAACATATTAAAAAATGATAACTTTATAAGTGACTAAGGAAATGTTTATTAAGGTCAAAGTGATATAGCCTTCCACACTCTTTATTTTGATGAAAATTTAAGTCTGACATTGATTTTGGGGATGGATGTTTTTAAAAATGATGTTTTATTCATGACCGATAAGTTCAGTTTTCTTATACATTCTGTTCTTCTTTCTGTGTTCAATATTTAATTTAAAAAATTTGGCCAGACATGGTGGCTCACGCCTGTAATCCCAGCACTTTGGGAGGCCAAAGCGGGCAGATCACGAGGTAAGGAGATCGAGACCATCCTAGCAAACATGGTGAAACCCTGTCTCTACTAAAATACAAAACATTACTCGGGTGTAGTGGCACATGCCTATAATCCCAGCTACTTGAGAGACTGAGGCAGGGGAATTGCTTGAACCGGGGAGGTGGAGGTTGCAGTGGGCCAAGATCGAGATCATGTCACTGCACTCCAGCCTGGCAACAGAGTAAGACCTCGTCAAAAAAAAAAAAAAAAAAACAAGAAAGAAAGACAATTTAAAACCAGACTATAATCCTGTGTTAAAATAAAATCTATGATGTAAAACCGTGGAACTGAAAATACTTGCATATTTTATGTCTCAGAAGCTGTGATAAGTAAAACATTCGGGTGTATTTGTGATTTTTAAATCCCCATTGAATAGCTTTCAATTTGGATTTATCAAAATCCATTCTCTATATGAAAGTGCACATTTTCCAAAAAAGTAGCCAGCCGTGGTGGCAGGCACCTGTAGTTCCAGCTACTTAGGAGGCTGAGGCAGGAGAATCCCTTGAACCTAGGAGGTGGAGCTTGCAGTAAGCCCAGATCAGGCCACTGCACTCCAGCCTGGGTGACAGAGCAAGACTCCGTCTCAAAAAAAAAAAAAAAAAAAAGAAAAAGGAAAAAAAAAAAAAAAGAAAGTGTGCATTTTCACATAAGCAAAGAAACCATGTGGGGGTGGGAAGAAGTTGGTCAAAGAGTAAAATGTTTCAGTTAGACAGTATGCATATATTTTGGTGGTACAGTGTGGGGCATGGTGACTATAGCTAATAATAATTAGTTACTTGAAAATTGCTAAGAGAGTAGACCTTAAAAGTTCTAATCATATACACATACATGCAGACAACAAACAGTAACTATGTGAGGTGATGGGTATGTTAATGAGCTTGATTGTGGTGATCATTTCAACATGTATGAATATATCAAAACATTCCTTGTATGCCATAAATATGTATAATTTTTATTCATCAATTATATCTCAATAAAGCTGAAAAAAACTTAAATTAAAAAAGAAACCATAATTTAAGATGAAGGATTACTCTTGCTACCTGTTAGGCATGCCTACTTGTGTTTGGGCAGGTGTGATTTTTTTCACATATAGAATCCAGCTCTCTGTTGGAATCTGATTTCTCCATAAGAAACAAAGCATTCCTCCTGTTAATATATGTGTCAAACTAACAATAGTTACAAAATATTTGCTATACCTCCATCAAGTAGGTCTATTTCTTTTCCTTTTGAGTTTGGGCTGCCCTTTGACTGCTTAAGCAATAGAATATAGTAGAATGGTACTATGAGTTGCTAGATTGGTAATCCTGAGATTCCATTTTTGAAGTCCTACTATGCTGCAGGATAAACAATTAGGAGAGGGGCTAAGACTATGGAAAAGGAGAGGGACCCAACTGAGCTCAGTTTCTCAGACGTCTCTGTCAGGTTGGCAGGGAAGTAAGTAAGCATTTTTTAGAATCTTCAAGTACTTAGCTATCAGCTGAATACCACTGAGTGATGCCAGTCAACCAGTCATAGAACACAGTAAGAATCACCCAGTGAAACCCTTCCCATATCCCTGACCCGCATGGGGGCCTGTATTTTGTGCCCAGTATAGGAGGTAGAAAGTGGAGCAAAGTTCTCCATTCCCAAGAAGGTTATATTCTACTTGGTGTAAACAAACTAAAGGACACATCAACAAATTAATTTTAAAGAGGTATAAGTGCTATGAAGGAAACATATATGTTACTAAGAGGGTAGTCAAGACATTTAATTTAGATACTGCAATTAGAAAGGCTAAATGCCGTCATCATTGAGATGGTTACATTAAATTTGACATTAGATTGGCAAATAGAAAAGTGTGTTCTAAGGAGGAACAGTATAATACTGATCAATTCCTTGATGTAGGAAGCAATTTGATCAAGTGGGAAACTGAATTGCAGTTGGTCGTCTCTGTAGTATAGTTAAGTAAGGATTTCAGTGGCCCAAGTAGAGGGTAAGATAAAGTAGGTATCAATTCTTGCAAATATTTCACCATGGTGTACTAGATGTTGGGATTAATTTTTTCCTATGAGCAATAGAAGGCAATGGATTATCTTAAACAGAAGGACGACATCACTCTAAATACATCTTAAGATGATAATATATTTGTTATATTGAAAACAGATTGAAAAAGCATGTTGTTTACTTAATACTTAGTCATCCTCCCAAATCTTATAGCAATACTTATGTAAATACACTATTTATATAAATGCATACATTGTGTGGAATGCTGTGCAAGATTGATGAAAAATCCAAAGGACTCATATTTTTTCTTTTATTAGTAATTTATAAGGAAGGACAGAGGCTGGTGAGCAATTATTGAAGAAAAATCTTTGCAAAACTTGGCTTTAGAAAAAAAATTATCTTAAACCAGTCATAGTTGCAGTAAAAGAATATCACTGAGACTATGAAACTCTCACACAGTGTGATGTAGTCTGAATTCGGAAAGGATGTTGATATATTCCTAAAAGATGTTTACCTTGAAATGGGACACTCTCTAAAAAGAAGCTATAATGTACATAGAAGGGAAAAATGAGCTCTAAATTTCATCAAGATATAAATGTAAACATGGATTATCATAGGAAATGAATTAGTGCCATAATGTAGATCAAATGTCAATTATCTACATGATCTTTTCTCATCTTTCATTTATAAATTTTAGCACAATTTTTAGAATATGATCAATATTGAAATAGTTGTCTTAGACGAATGTGTTCTTAAATATGCTTCATAGGCCATTAAATTAAGATGACTCTCATTAGACAAATAGCACATTAAAATAGGCACTAGCATTTTTCACTGTCACAATCATAATGGACATACAGAGCAATATTTTAACACACAATAATATCATTTGTCTTATTGTGCTGTGTTTTTTTAATAACACATACTTATTTTTATTATATTTATTGTGGTTGAACACTTAATATATAAAAAGTCCATCTCTTCACACATTTTTAAAGGTAAAATAGAGCATTGTTAACTGTAGGCACGGTGGTGTACGGCAGATCTCTACAACATTCATGTTGCATAACTGAAACTTTATAACCAGGAAACAACTCCCCATTTCCCTGTCCCCTTGTCCCCTGGCAGCCACTATTCTACTTTCTGCTAGTCTGAGTCTGACTATTTTAGATACCTCATATAAGTGAAATAATGCAGTATTTGTCCTTCTGTAAATGGCTTATTTTGCTTAGCATGTCTTCAAGGCTTGTACATGTTGTTGCATATTACAGAATATTTTAAAGACCTTAAAGACTGGTAATATTCTGCTGTCATGTATAAACCACATTTTCTTCATCCATTTTTCTGTCAATGGATGGTTTAAGTTGTTTATATACATTGGCTCATTAGACAAATAGCAAATTTTGTAAATAGCGCTGCAATGAATACTGACATGCTATTATTTCTTTGATGTCTTGTTTTATATTCTTCTGGATAAATGGCTGGAAATAGAATAATGTGGGAATTCTATGGTTAATTTTTTAAAAACTGCCATACTGTTTTCCATGAAAGGCGCATCATTTTGCATTCTCCCCAATAATGTAGAAGAGGTACAATTTCACCATATCCCCAGCAACACTTATCTTTCATTTTTTTGATAACAGCCATCTTAACTGGTGTGAGATGATATCTCACTGTGGTTTTGAATATGCATGTCCCTGAAGATTAATGACATTGAGCAATTTTTCATGTACCCATTGGCCACTTGTAAGTCTTTGGAAAAATGTTATTCAATTATTTAGCCTGTTTTCTATCGGGTTATGAGTTCTGTATGCATTTTGGAAATTAATTATCTATCTTATATATAGTTTGCAAATATTATCTACATTGCATAGGTTGCCTTTTACTCTGTTGAATTATTTGCTTGCTATGCTGGAGCTTTTTAGTTCGATAGACCTGACTTAGTTTATAGCCGCAATTGCCTATTTTTACTTTTTCTGCCTATAGTTTTGATGTCATATCTACAAAATCATTGCCAAAACCAATTTCAAAAAAACCTTTTCCTTGTTTTTTTCCCCTAGGAATTTAAAAAATTGAGATCTTATGTGTAAGTGTAAATCTATTTCGAGTTGACTTTTTGTGTATATGATAAGATATGAGTCTAATTTTTGCATGTGGATATTCAGGTTTTTCAATATCATTTATTGAAGAAACTATCCTTTCCCATTGTGAATTATTTACATCCTTGTAGAAAAACAATTGGCCATGTATGTATTGGTTTATTTCTTGGCCTTCTATTCTGTTTCATTGTTCTATATGTCTGCCTTTATACCAGTGCCATACTGTTTTAATTACCATGGGTTTTAATGTATTTTGAAATCATGAAGTGGGTTGCCTCAAATTTGTTTTTCTTGCTCAAGATTGTTCTGTATATTTGTGGTTAATATCTAAAATATGCAATGAACTCCTACAACTTGATAATAAAATACCAAGTAATCTGATTTAAAAATGGACAAAAGACCTCAATAAATATTTTTCAAAAAGACTTATAAATTTCCAACAGGTATATAAAAAATTTATCAATGTCACTAATCATCATTGAAATGCAAATCAAAACTACAGTAAGATATTTCCTTTTACTTCTTAGAATGGCAATTATCAAAATGATAAGAGATAACAAGTGTTGGTGAAGATGCGCAGAAAAGGGAACTCTTGCATACTGTTGGTGGGGTTATAAATTGGCATGGTCATTATTGAGAAAAATATGGAGGTTCTTCAAAAAATTAAAAATAGAATTACTATATGATCTAGCAATTCTATTTCTGGGAATATATCCAAAGGAAATTAAATTACTGTCTTGAAGTAATATCTACACTTCTTTGTTCACTGTTGCATTTGTCACAAAAACTGTTATAGAAGTAAACTGAATGCCCATTAATGACTGGATGAAGAAATGTGATATACACAGATCATATATATTGGAATAATGTTCAGCCATAAAAAGAAAGAAATCTTGCCCTTTTTTCATTTCACATAATGTCCTGTGGGTTTATCCATGTTGTCACATAGATGAACCTGCAGGACATTTTGTGAAATTAAACAATCCAGACACAGAAAGACAAATATACCATGATCTCAATTATATTTGTAATCTAAAAAAGTTGAACTTATAAAGGCAGAAAGTAGAATAGTGGCTGTCAGAGGAGACATGGGGAGATGTTCAAAGAGCATAAACTTTCAGTTATAAGTTGAATATGTTTTGGGAACCTAAAGTACAACATGGTTACTACAGTTGATATACTGCATTGTTTACTTGAAATTTGATAACAGAATAGATTATAAGTGTCCTCACTCTCTTACACATGCAAATAATTGCAACTACAGGTGGTGTTGGATGTGTTAAATTATTTGCCTTTGATAATACACTGTATATACACACACACATATATATATACATACACACACACATATATATATATACACATCAATGAGTATGTATCAAATTATCATGTTGTACACATTGGGCATATACATTTTGTCAATTAAGTACGTTTTTTTTTTTCAGAGATGGGTTCTCAGTATATTACCGAGGCTGGTTTCAAATTCCTGGGCTCAAGTGATCCTCCTACCCTGGCCTCTCAAATTGCTTGGACCACAAGTGTGAGCTACTTTGCTCAGTCTATCAAGACTTTCTACTTTAATATGTTGATATAATTATATAAATTTTTTCATGTATTATGTTAATGTGGTAAACTATATAGTTTGATTTTCAAATGTTGAACTAAATTTTCATTTTTGAAATAAATCAAGTTTAGCTGTAATATATTATCTTTTTAAATAAAGGACTATATTTGGTTTAATATTTTGTTTAGCATTTTGCATCAATGTTTATGAAGGATTGGTTCTAATTTTCCTTCTTAAATGCTTTTTAATGTAAGTTTTATCCTTCTAACTATAGTAATTTTAGGATCTACAGTGATGTCTCTTTCTTAACCTTAATATTGGTAACTGATACATGCACTTCTTAGTCTTTACTGGTCTTCCTTACTTTTAAGAATTTTATTGGATCAGCAGTCTTCAACATGTGATTGCAGAACTCTATGGATCCCTGAGACATATTGTGGGAAAGAGAGTTTCTGGAGTGCCAGATGAGTTGGTCTCCCCTGTGTGAGACACCCATGGGGAGCCATTGGTGGCCTCTGAGGAGAAAAGTCTCCTTATTGCCTTCCTGTCTTTATGCCCCAAGAGATAACTGCTCAGCGGCATTCCACAGGTTGCTCAGGGAGATAACACTCCCTTGAAGCAGTGGAGTAAAATCAAACATCTTGGCTCCTCCTGAAACCCGCTCCCAGCCATTTCAGTCCCAATAAGTTAAAGATCTTAAGTAGTTTAGACACTCGCCTTTGCTCAAGGAAATTCAGGGAAACCGCCACTACTATACATCTTATTGAATGACTCACAAGTTCTCCTTCATTGATTAATTCTTTTCCTCATCCCTTCTTCCCCCTCCCATGTGCCCTAAGAGCAAAGAGCTTATAAACCAATAAATTGGGTGAAGGCCGAGAGCTAGGGGCCCTGAGCAAGCCTCCGATGCTCCAGTCCCCTTGACCTTTTAAACTCTTATTCTGTCTCTTTCTAACTCCTTTGTCTCCGCTGGACTTGGGGTACCCACCGGGTGGTGTGGGGCTGGTTTCCCCAACATCTGGTGCCCAATGCGGGGCTCCACATAATCCCTACAAATAATCCGGTGAAGGAACGCCAGAGCGTGGAAAGTGGAGGACTACTGACAAAGGATGCTTGAGTACGTTTTCACTTCAAGCTCTACCTGTAAGTAGGGCGCTCAGAGAATTCCAGGGTAACCTCGGGAAAGTATGGGTCAGGCTAAGAGTAAGTTTGCTAATTACTTAAGCCTGGTGCGGCCGTTATTGCGCTGCGGAGGGGTAATTGTGAGTACCCAATATCTCACATCTTTGTTCCATCTGGTAGAAAAGTATTCTCCTTGGTTCCCGGAATATGGAACCATGAATGTAAAAGATTGGGACAAGGTCGGATCAGACTTAAAACCAGCACAACAAGAGGGCCACGATATTCCCTTCTCCTTTTGGTCTGTGTGGTCGGCAATTAAAACAGCACTGGAGCCCTTCCACACTGAGGAGGAGGAGGAGGAGTTTCAGGATGACATAGATAAGTTTAATAATCAGGAGTCCGATGATCAGCAAAGTGAACCATCACAGTCTAGTTTTAAAAAGGGGGAGAAATGGGAAGGTATATATGCTAACTTCCAGAAACTTATGAAAAAACAGTTCCACCTACTGCAGAAACAGTGCCACCTACTATGCCTTTAGGGGAAGGTCCAGAATGGCCACCCCCGCCTCGGCTTTATGAATTTTTGAAACAGGGAGCCTGAGGAAGGGAGGCTTGCTGCTCCCAAGGTTGCACGCCTCGCTGTTAACTATGGCGAAGGGAAGCTTCAGGCTTGCCCAACAGCCAATTACGGTGAGGGAATGATCCCGGCTTGTCCACCTGTTAATTATGGTAGAGGAATGCTGCAAGCCGGCCCAAATACAAATTATGGCACAGGGAAAATCCAGGCAGCCATTCACCAGGCACGAGAAATAGGGGATTTGGATGCTTGGCAGTTTCCAGTAATTATTTCTTCGGCTGAGGAGCCCGGAGAACATGCTCAAGCACGCTGGGAGCCATTTCCTTTTAAAATATTAAGACTTAAAGTAAGCCATTGGAAAATATGGGCCAAATTCTCCTTATGTTCATTCCTTGTTACAATCTGTGGCTTATAACCGGCGTTTAAAACCTCTGGATTGGGAGTCATTAGCCCGATCCACCCTGTACCCCTCTGAATTTCTCCAACTTAAAACCTGGTGGATGGATGAAGCAACAAATCAGGCACGCAGAAATGTTCAAGCCCAACCTCCTGTTAATAGCACATCTGATCAATTGCTTGGAATCGGACAGGCATGGGGTACTCTCAATCAACAGATGGTAGTGGGTGATGAAGCTGTTGATCAGCTCAGAACTATATGCCTAAGAGCCTGGGAAAAAAAATTTACGACTCTGGTACTACTTATCCTTCTTTTAACTCAGTTCAACAGGGTCCAAGGAAGCCTTATCTAGATTTTACCGCCTGTTTGCAAGACGCGGCTCAAAAGTCTATTTCGGATTTTCATGCCAGGAAAGTGATTGTTCAGCTGCTTCCTTATGAAAATGCTAATACAGAATGTCAGGCAGCAATTAGACCTATTAAGGGAAAGGCAGATCTAAATGAGGAAAAATCTTAAGTGAATACATTAAAGCCTGCGATGACATTGGGGGGCATTTAGATAAGGCCAGCCTCCTTGCTCAGGCAATGGTTGGACTAAACGTAACAAAAAGCACATGAATGTTCCCTGGATCTTGCTATAATTGTGGACAGATAGGACATACAAAAAGAGAGTGTACAAAGAGCCAAAAAAGGCAAAACTCGGGACTGGGCCCCTATACAAAGCGGGGCATTCCCAATTCAGGACTAGATGTCCCCGACTCCAAAGGGAGTGTTCCCAGCCCAGTGTATCCCTGTACAAATGTACAGCAATTGTCCCCCTCCATAGCTAAAAGTAGGGCAGTAGATTTATGCTGTACCGAAGCCATATCCCTCCTTCTTGGGGAGCCTCCTAGGAAGGTCCCAACGGGAGTTTACAGTCCATTGCCAAACGGCACGGTGGGACTTACAATGGGAAGGTCCAGCTTAAACTTAAAGGGAATTCAAGTACATACTGGAGTACTGGACTTTGATTGCCAGGGATAAATTCAAATTGTTATCTCCTCCACTGTTCCCTGGAGTGCTAATCCAGGTGACAGAATAGCTCAACTGTTGCTTTTACCATATGTTAAGTTAGGAGAAAACTCAGAAAAAAGAACAGGAGGATTTGGAAGCACAAATTCAGCAGGCAAAGCTGCCTATTGGGTAAATCAAGTCTCTGACAATAGACCTATTTGTATGGTCACTATTCAAGGAAAACAATTTGAGGGTCTGGTTGACACAGGAACAGATGTGTCAATCATAGCTCTTTATCAGTGGCCAAAAAACTGGCCCCCAAAAAAGGCCCCAGTGGGTCTTATTGGGGTCGAGGGTTTGCTTGTATCTCACCAGGAGAGAATCAGCTTTCTATCTGGGTACCCACAAGACATCTTAAGCTGTGCCATGAGCCAGAGTCCAAGGAAGAGGAGAAGATCTCGGAACGTCCCTGCACCCCCAGTTCATCAGATGGCTCAGATGAACACCTCTGTTGAGCAGATGGAAACCAGTAAAACTCACCAAGCAACTCAACCGACCTGTGGGCAGATGAAGAGACTAGCTCACATTGCAGAGGAGAACGTGAGGTCTCAGAACAAGCCGCTGACTACCAGTAATCTAATGGTAGCTATGATGGCAGCAGTCTCCTTGGTAGTGAGTCTCCCCATAGCTGAGGCAGATCAAAATTACACTTATTGGGCCTACATTCCATTCCCACCACTGATTAGGCCTGTTACATGGTTATACCCTCCAGTGGAGGTTTATGTTAATGATAGTGGCTGGATGCCTGGACCAAAAGATAACCGAAGTCCTACTCATCCACAGGAGGAAGGAATGTTAATAAATGTTTCCATTGGTTATTGCTTTCCTCCCATCTGCCTGGGGCCAGCAGCAGGATGTTTAAATTATGATAAACAAAGTTGGATGGTTTATGTCCCTGCACATAATGTATCAAAAGCCTCTATTCATGTAATCAGTGGAACAACATTTCAATCTTTGGACACTATTAAATGCCTTAAGCATGGTTATGTTACGACACATTGCCAGATTAATAAATTTAAACCTAATAAGAAGCCCTGCCCTAGGCAGGCCACTAAATGGTCTGAAAAGCTAGAGGTGCTAACCTGGGAAGATTGTATTGCAAACAGCGCTGCTGTACTGCAAAATAATTCCTATGGAATCATCATTGATTGGACCCCTAGGGGACACTATGCAGTAAATTGTACTGGACAGAGTGAAGATTGTAGAGACTTCTTTTGCAAATGACTACCCAGATAACGCACCAAAATTATATAGAAGAATTAAAACAAATTACCCTATTAAGTGGGAGGAGAACGGTATGGCTCCTCCAAGCCCAGAAATGATTGATCCAATTATAAGTCCAAAACATCATCCAGAATTGTGGAAATTAATGATGACTGGAACCCCAATTCGGATTTGGAAAGGAGAATATAAAACAGAGACCCAGGCCAGGCACGGTGACTCACGCCTGTAATCCCAGCACTTTGGGAGGCCGAAGCGGGCAGATCACGAGGTCAGGAGATCGAGACCACCCTGGCTAACAGGGTGAAACCCCATCTTTACCAAAAATGCAAAAAATTATCCGGGCATGGTGGTGGGCACCTGCATTCCCAGCTACTTGGGAGGCTGAGGCAGGAGAATGGCATGAACCCGGGAGGCGGAGCTTGCAGTGAGCTGAGATGGCACTACTGCACTCCAGCCTGGGTGACAGTGAGAGACTCTGTCTCAAAAAAAAACCAAACAAACAAACAAACAAACAAAAAAAACAGAAACCAGAGACTCATAGTAAAAAACTTCTATTTGTTGTAGCCGTGACCTCTAATTGGACAGTCCCATTGCAGAGTTCTGTTAAACCTCCTTTTATGTTGGCAGTGGGAAAAATTAATATCCTACTTAACTCTCAAACCATATCGTGCCTCAACTGTCATCTTTTTACCTGCGTTAATTCTACCTTTAATAAAGATAACAGCATTTTACTGGTTAGGGCCCGAGTGGGAGTTTGAATACCTGTTTCCCTCAATAGACATTGGGAGGCTCTCCCGCCATACATATCATCACTGAAGTACTAAAAGGAACACTTAATAGATCAAAGAGATTCATATTTACTTTAATAGCTGTGATCATGGGCCTTATAGCTGTCACAGCTAGTGCTGCTGCTGCTGGTGTTGCTTTGCACTCTTGTATTCAAACTGCGGGCTTTTTGGATAGTTGGCAGAAAAATTATTCTAAGCTTTGGAAATCCCAAAGCCAAATAGATCAAAAACTGGAAAATCAAATTAATGATCTCCGTCAAACAGTAATTTGGATGGGAGATCAGATTATGAGCTTGGAGCATAGAATTCAAATGATATGTGATTGGAATACTTCTGATTTTTGTATTACTCCTATCTCTTATGATGTCACTGAACACCACTGGGAGAAAATTAGACATCACCTACAAGGAAAAGAAGATAATTTAACACTAGATATTGCTAAACTGAAAAAACAACTTTTTGAAGCATCTCAGGCTCATCTCACCCTGTTACCTGGAGCTGATATTCTTGCTGGAGCCACTGATGGTCTTCCTAATACCAATCCTTTAAAGTGGATTAAAACCGTAGGTGGATCATCCTATTGCAAATTTTATTTTGGTTTGTGTCTGTTTATGCTGTTTGTTCTTAGTCTACAGATGTGGATGGCTCCTTGGGAGAGAAGCCAGACACCGTGAACGAGCCATGATAGCAATGGCATTTATTAATTTAAAAAAAATTAATAGAGGTAAAAAAGGGGGACATATGGGAAAGAATTTCTGGAGTGCCAAATGAGTTGGTCTCCCCTGTGTGAGACACCCATGGGGAGCCATGGGTGGCCTCTGAGGAGAAAAGTCTCCTTATTATCTTCATGTCTTTATGCCGCGAGAACATAACCACTCAGTGGCATTTCACAGGTTGCTCAGG
Source organism: Homo sapiens (assembly GCF_000001405.40). Taxonomy (NCBI): domain Eukaryota; kingdom Metazoa; phylum Chordata; class Mammalia; order Primates; family Hominidae; genus Homo; species Homo sapiens. The sequence continues at coordinate 48,879,304 of NC_000006.12, forward strand.
GAGATAACACTCCCTTGAAGCAATGGAGTCTAATCAAACATCTTGGCTCCTCCTGAAACCTGCTCCCACCCATTTCAGTCCCGATAAGTTAAAGTCCTTAAGTAGTTTAGACACACACCTTTGCTCAAGGAAATTCACAGAAACTGCCACTGCTATACATCTTATTGAATGACTCACGAGTTCTCCTTCATTGATTAATCCTTTTCCTTATCCCTTCCTCCCCCTCATATCTGCCCTAAGAACAAAGAGCTTGTAAACCAATAAATTAGGTGGAGCAGAAGAGCTCTGGGCAATGAGCAAGTCTCCCATGCTCCAGTCCCCTGGACCCACCTTTTAAACTCTTACTCTGTCTCTTTCTAATTCATTTGTCTCTGCTGGACTCAGGGTACCTGCCGGGAGGTGTGGGGCTGGTTTCCCCAACACATATTTAGTGGACCTGCAAGGTCAAAGTAATTTTCATAGCAATACTAACATATGATTTGCCTTTTTCACTGGTTCACTGTGTTGACATTTGTACTGATAGTGCAAAAGTAATGGTGTGTCATTTAGTAAAAATTATTTCTGTTTACCCTCAACCTTTGAGTATACATCTTTTTAAAGTTCTGTATGACAAAATGGGAAGTACATTTATAATGCTTCTGCTGTGTTCCAGAGTCAGATGGATAGCTCAAGGAAAACATTTGTGCAGTTAAGTCATCAGCTGATCTAGTCAATTTTCATGGAATACCACTTTTACCTGAAAGAAAAACATGACAGAAAAATATAATTATTCACACTTAGATATTTGGAAGATAGTTTCCCATAATTGAATGTGGTAAGTTTTTGTTTGTTTGTTTGTTTGTTTGTTTGTTTGAGATGGAGTCTTGCTCTGTCACCCAGGCTGGAGAGCAGTGGCACGATCTCAGCTCACTGCAAGCTCCACCTCCCAGGTTCATGCCATTCTTCTTCCTCAAGCCTCCTGAGTAGCTGGGACTATAGGCATTCACCAACATGCCTGGCTAATTTTTTTGTATTTTTAGTAGAGACCGGATTTCACCATGTTAGCCAGGATGATCTCGAGCTGCTGACCTCGTGATCCTCCCACCTTGGCCTCCCAAAGTGCTGGGATTACAGGTGTGAGCCGCCATGCCTGGCCAGTAAATGCAGTAGGTCTTTAACTTCAAAGTAAATAACTGATAGTCTTGTTGCTAATTATAAAATTTGAGCTTTCAACCAAAAAGTAGAATGTAGGAAAAGGTGTATCTTCCACAATGAGCTTGATTGTTTCTTAGTATTTAAAATTTTCCTTACTGAAGAGATGTTTAAAGGTATTAGTGAATGTGACATATTGGTATTGTATAATGATATGTCTCAGCATTTTAAATTATACATAACTAATGGAATAAATATTTTCCAAATGACCAATGAATGATGTTACAAAATCGTGTATGGATACAAAATCTATTCAATGTTCAATATTGCTCCAGAGATTTTAATTTAAAAGTATATAAAAAATCATTGATAAGGTTTCAAATTCTATGTGTAAGAAACTAACCAATTCATAAAGATTAGTTTAACTTTTCAGTTGTTGGAGAGTAATACGAAAGAAAATCCACAATTATCTGAAGAGTATATTAAAATCGTCTTTGCTATTCTAAATTTGTATCTTCCTGAGGCCAAATCTTCTTCAATGCTTCAGTCAAAATAGCATATACAGAAAATAGAATACAGAAGAAAATATAAGAATTCAGCTGTCTTCTATTAAGCCAGATACAGAAGATATTTTTAAAATATAAAACAATACCAGTCTTCTGCCTGCAGTTTTTTTTTTGTTTGTTTGGAGAAAATATAAGCATTTTCATAAAAATATATGATTTATGTTAACATGTAACCAGTTTATTATAGTTACTTTTAAACAATTTATTGAATAACTCATTCTTAAATGTTTTGATTTAATTTTTAATACAGCAGATATCTTCAGTGATCCAATGGAACGCCTGATTCTCTTAGGTCCCCTGCTGCTTGGTAGGTCCTGAACTCTAAGATTAGGCCCTAGCCTTTTGGAAATAGATAAATCTGTGCTCATCTTTTCAGCTTCTTGTCTGCTGCTTTCTATCCAAAATATGTACTGTCAGGGTTAATAATTGGCAAATGTCATGATGCAAAACTTTACAGAATATTGGTTTCACCTTTGACTTTTCCTTCTCTAGGAATCTTAGCCTTGAAGTCCTCTAACTTGCATTGATAGCTAACCAATGCCTTCAAACATTAAAAAAAATCTTATGCACGTGTTCTAGTTTTTCTTGGTGGAAGATTGACCTATGATAAAGTTGTTCTTTATAGACTAAAGTGGAACTCTCTCATGAGCATCTATGGTGAAGTAATAACAGAATATTTTTTTCCAAGTTTCCCCAAATGATTCTACCACATGGTCAATGTTGCAATGGTTCTGTGGAAGCAATACAGGAATTTCAATTGCATAGGCCTGAATCCAACCTTGTTTATCCAAGTGATGAGTAATTTTATGTGTTGACTGGGTTACTGGGTACCCAGATACATGGTCAAATTTATTCTGAGTGTTTCCATGAGATTGTTTTTGGATAGGATCAACATGTCCATTGGTAGAATAAATAAAGCAGATTGCCCTCCCTAATGTGGATAGTCCTCCCAATCAGTTGAAGTCTTCAATAGAACAAAATGACTGACCTTTCTTTGGGTAAGAGATAATTCTTCCTGCGTGATGGCCTTTGAACTGCATTTTTCCTGCCTTAGACTTGAATTTCTTGAAGTATTTACTCTTCCTTGATTTCACACCTTACAGCCTTCAAAAACCATTGGTTCTTCTGATTCTCAACCCTTCTAACTCAAACTGAAACTACACCATTGGCTCTCTTGGGTATCAGTTTGCTAACTCACCCTGCAGATGTTGGCACTTGCCAGCTGCCATCATCACATGAGCAATTTCTTACTATAAACCTCTTAAAAGATGACTAGATAGAAACATATCTAGCTAGCTAGCTAGCTAGATGATAGATAGATAGATAGATAGATAGATAGATAGATAGATAGATATCCTGTTGGTTCAGTTTTTCTAGGAACCCCTGACTAAATTCCGTTTCTATGTGGCTTACATATCCTTGCATATTTTAGCATATTTAGCATATTTTTCTACGACTGAACAAAGTCCTAGCTTCTTTATAAACATATTACGTGGGGATTATTTGGAGTAAACACTATATAGTAGCTATCACATACCATGAAAGACAACCAGTATTAAATACTTTCCCACTTACATATTCCTCTGTATCCAAATTTTACCTAAATATAGAGGTCCGTGAGGTTTTTGAACATTTCAGACAAAAATCCCACTTCATGGTGTTTGCCTTTTTTATCCTCTCTGCCTAGATTACTCCTTTCTAAATATATAGGAGACTCACATCATCTAAGCTATTGTTCAAATGATTCCTTCTCTCTGAAGCCTTCCCATACTCCTTAAAGTTGCAAAAGCCCTCTCCCATTCCTTCTCCTTTTCAGTTGTTTTTTTCTCACAATATGGATCAATTTCTAATATGTTTATATTTACTTATCTATTTCATGTATTCCTTCCACAACCACCCCACTGCAACATAAGCTTCATAGGGGCTAATTATTTTTCGTTTTTTTTGTGTGTGTGTTTATATCTGTTTTGTAATTTTTCTTCAGTGCTTCAAAGTGTACCTTTTCTAGTAAGTGCTTAATATGTGTTTGCTTAATAAATAAACAATCTCTTTAAGAAGATTATAGAAGTTTCTCAATGATCTTCATCTACTCTGGCAGCCCACGGAGAGACCAGTCTCTTGACTTCATGTACAGAAAAGTGGGGAGGAATGGCAACTTACTCAATAAAAATTAGAAGTTTAAAAATCAACTTTTTAAATAGGAAGGTGTGGGGTGCATGACTTATTTACATACTTTCTGATACTGGAACACTGTTGGGGGACTTAGAGGTTTCAGAGAGTTATTTCCTGTTGCAAGAGGTTTTGGAGAGTTATTTCCTGTTGCACACATTGAAACTCCTTAGAGCCCTGATATAAATGTCAGAGGTACCACTTTTAAGACTAAGAAGAAAACACTTTCACATAATACTTCTCAGCTGGTAACATAAAAACAATGTTTCAGTGGGGATGACTTCTAAGGTGGATCATGGAGATTTGGGCAGTCACCAGTTTCTTGGTAAGCATTGTAAATCAAGGATTTAAACAACATGTATTACTAATGTTATGCTTGCCTAAACACTATAGGCTCCACGGAAGATTAAATGTTTTTCCTTCTAATGCCTTTCAGTATCAACATCATAATTATCTTCATTATCTTTGTAGTAATAAATAACTATTTAGCATTATTACATTCCACAACTTGCTTAGTGCATATTCTTTAACTTAATTCACACAGCTACCCAAATACCCAACATTCACACATGTGAGAATGAAAGTTTTCAATGATTAAGCTTGAACAAGGAATACAATTCTAACTGTACTGTTGTGATTCTATGCAGAAAGAAGTCCTCTGAATACAAATATGATTCAAAGCTGTTTTTAATTATACATGTTATTAAATGTGCTTTACTCATTTCCTTGATTGATTATTCTAACACTAATACTAATAACATCTGCCAAAATATCCTGCACTTATCAAGTATCTACTATGTGTTAGAAACTGTAAACAGTGTCATGCACAGTCCTCATCCTTAGAGAAATAATAATTCCTCTGAAATATAAAGCAGTTATAAGTAGCAAATAAGTTTAGAGATGAGAGAAACTTCTGTGGGCTATGCCATTTAGTGAAGATGCTATGGGTTGACAGACATTGTAGAATGAGTGGAATTTAAACGGGTAATGATAAGAGTGGCATGTTCTAGGCAGTAGCAGCATATTTAGAAATCATGGGTAAACCAGATTTTCTGGAGCAGAATGGTAATTTTAACAAATAGTAAGGCAAAAACTTGAGGTATACAGGTTAGAGTTAACTCAAAGATGTTAAAAATCAACAGAAACAGAGTTGATTTGCCTTTAATCCCCAGAGGTTTTTCTGTTTTGATTCATAATGGATCTTTTTGGAGAATGAAGGTAAGAAGATGGCAGGCTATAACTATGATTCAGATATATAAGGGCTTGTACCTAAACATGCTGAGAAAGTGAAAACGAAAAGTGGTGGGCAGGTATGAAAACAAATCTTATTCAAAAGTTTATTTGGGAACAAGGAATTCTGAGGTATTAGGAAAAAGGTACAGACTGCAAAGAGTTGAGATAACTGAGGGGCTGATTTCCTAGATCAGAATTTTGTAAAGCCATCAGGTCCTCCACAGTTGTTGTAACTCACAGATTTAAACACAGCATAAAGCACTAATGTTATGCCAGCTTGAGCATTATAGGCTCCATAGAAGATTAAAGACTTGTATTTTTTTCCATCCAGTTCCTTTCAGTGTCAACATTGTAATTATATTCATTGCCCAGGAAAGATCATTCAAGTTGTTAACGACATGAAACTTCAAATGGTGCAGCAAGGTCAGAAAAATGTAAGGTTGCAGTGGTGTGTATAATTCCTGGCCCTACTGTCTTCAGCTAAGGAACTAGGGGGGACATACTCTGACTGTAGATCCTCATAATAGATATAATACAGTAAGTGAGCTGGCGACATAAAGTCAGGGATACAAAGAAAAGCCAGACCTGATGTGTTTTATGAATTATGACACAGTGAAAGAGTCCTGTAGGAGATGGACAATGGACGGAGTCATTCATTTACCACATCCATATGCACTGAAGACCAGCGATGTGGCTGATTCTACGAAGATAGCCCTAGAAATAGCAGAGACACTTAGCAAGCTTCTGCTATATAACTGGTGTTAATCACTTTACAAGTAATATATAATTTAATCTTCATTTAGGCTCTGCACATGTAGGTGTTTTTATAGATGAGAAAATTGAGATTAAAATATTAGAGATTTTCCAAATGCCCCAAAGTTGTCAAATGGTAGTGCCAGGGAAAATTGCAATTCATCTAATTTCAAAGACAGCTCTTAAACACTATACTATAAACTGTAGTTTTGAATCCACATGATTTGGAGAATGATATTACCATTCAGGAAGTAAATTACTCATGAAACTAGTTTTGTAAACAAAAGAATGAGTTTAGTTATGCATTGACTTTGTTCTGAAAGTAAAACTCAAAATGGGCAGTAGGTAAAATAATTGGCATTTAGGATAGATAGAAGAAATGCATGAAAATAAATATTTGGGAATCATCTACATAACAAATAATATTCAAAGCTACAAGCATGAGTGAAGTTTCCAATGGAAAGGGTGTGCGAAGAAGAGGTCTGGCGGCTAAATGCTGCATGAAGAGTAGTGATAGCAAAAGGAAGCAGAACTAGAACAAGAAGCACAGGAAGTGTATATCCTGTGGCAAAAAGTTAAGGAAAATAGTGGTTGAAAAAAAGTGGTTAAATGAAAGCTATGTGGCATTTTGGATGTTTAGTAATGAAAACATTATGACAAAAATTTGAAAGTGTGGACTGTTTTTACTAAAGAAGTATACACTGTCAGGTAGCAGTGCCTTGTATGATATATAATAAACAGTCATGAGAGGAATTATTAGAATTGAGAATGAAGCCTGTGGTCTCAAACTAAGTTAAAAGTACTAACACATTTTGGGGCATAGAGCACAAGTAATGAGACAGCTAGTGAACCATATAACATAGAGAACAACCCTACATTTTATGGTCATGCTTTCATGCATTGGAAGTTTTGTTGCATAATGTATAAGATGATTGATTAAACACATATACGTTTCTGTTTCTTAAATATCTGTTCTCCATTTTTACTTCTGTGGGAATAAGTTCTATTTTCAGTATAATAATAATGATAAAGAAAAAAATTAGCTAACTTATATTGAACACTTTATATGCCAGGCGTATTTCAAGTACCATATGGATATATGATACTTACAAAATCATATCAGATAAGTTGCTGTTACTCTTACTTTTTAGATAAGGAAACAGATATAGAAATATTACATAATTTGCTAATTAGATCACACATATACTAAGTGGTAGAGGCATAATTCATAACACAGTATATAATTGCCCTATCAATGGAACAAAAAAATTGGTTATGCAGTTGTACTCAAAATTCACAACAAAATCTGAATATCACAGTATTCACATTCTTGCTTCACATTCACATACTTCCTTAAAATTCCTCACCAGAGCCAATTCAAAATAGTTCTTATCAATATGAAATACTATTAAAGCAATGGTTACAAATGAGAGGGCAAGAACTTGGGCAGGGGTGAAAAAGGAAATATGTTCTATATAGACACAATACAAACAATCTGAGGTAACGTAGTAACAGGTATTTTTATTGTGCTTCATTTTACTCACTTTAGAGATACTTTTTTTTTAATTGAAGGTATGTGCCATCATGCATTGAGCAAGTCCATCAGTACCATTTTTTTCAACAGCATGTGCCTACTTTGTATCTCTATGCCAACATTTTTTAGCAATAAGGTATTTTTAAAGTAAGATGTGTTGTTTAGACATAATGCTATTGCACACTTAATAGACTACAGTAGGGTATAAACATAACTTTTATATGCATTTGGAAACAAAAAAAAAATGTGTGACTTGCCTTGTTATAATGTTTGTTGTATTGTCATGGTCTGGAACTGAACCTACAGTATCTACAAGGTATGCCAGTGTTGAGTTTTTATAAAAGGGACCAGACACTTCAAACATGGCAGGACATCATGAGAGGGAGCCAAGGGTTAACAACTGGATCAGGCCAGGGAACACTGAGGAGGGCCTTGTTCAAATATTTCCTTTCCCATATTTCTCATCAGACTTTCTAATCTGGTCTCAGGCCCCCATCGTCAGTCAAAACCAATTCCAACCTATCAAAATACACTTTTGATCATTTTCTTCATAAGCTGAAAAATATTAGGTGGTCTTTTTCCACCTGCTATGAAAGATATATTTCAAATTCACAATAATGAAGTCTTCCTCTATGTGAATATCCTTCCTTTCTTTAGCCTCTCAGATTCCTACCTATTTTCCATGATGCAGTTTAAATGTCATTTATTACATAACATTTTGCCTAACTATCCAGGGAATTTATCCTCAGGGTTCTTCCTCAGGATTCTTGAAACACTCTGTGCCTGTATCTTAAGATTATTCTAAAAACGAAATAAAATAATGCATGCAAAAAAATGTTGGAAAAAAGTGTGTAGTGTATACATAGAAGGAAAAGCAACTCTCTTTAAAACTGATGAGACAGTATTTTCGCTCTGGGCAGGGAAGGGAATGCAAGTAGCAATTCTATCTATCTTCAGAGACACTGCACAGAACAGATCCTAAGCAAACTTCCAGCAGAGGCAGATAAGCACTGTTTTACACACAGCCTCTGTGCCAGTGCTGTCTGACAGACTTTCCTTAGCAAACTAACACAGGAACAAAAAACCAAATTCTGCATGTTCTCACAAGTGGGAGCTAAGTGATGAAAACACATGGACACATAGAAGGGAAGAACATACACTGGGGCCTATTGAAGGGTGGAGGGTAGAAGCAGGGAGGAGGTCAGGAAAAATAGCTAATGAGTACTAAGCTTAATACCTGGATGATGAAATAATCTGTACAACAAACCCCCATGACACAAGTTTACCGATATAACAAACCGGCGTATGTACCCCTGAACTTAAAATAAAAGTGAAAAATAACAAAAAATTAATGATAATTAAAAAAGAAATGTAATGTGAGCTACCCATGCGAGTATTATAAGTAGTCTTAAATGTTCTAGTAGTCACACTTAAAAACTAAAAATAAACAGGGGAAACTGAATGTAATAATAGATTTATTTAATCCAATAGCTAAATTGCACTTCAATGCATAAAAAGCTTTGACACACATTCTTTATTTCACATGAGATCCTTGAACTCTGTCATCTACTTTATCCTTACAGCACAGCTCAGTCTTGTTTAATTGGCTCATAGTTCCACAGGGTGTACAGGAAGTATGGCTGGGGAGGCCTCAGGAAACTTATGATCATGGCAAAAGGCAAAGGGGAAGCAGGCACATCTTACATGGCAGGAACAGGAGGAAGAGAGTGAAGGGAGAGGTGCCATACACTTTTAAACAATCAGATCTCATGAAAGCTTACTCACTATCATGAGAACAGCAAGGGGGAAATCCATCCCTCTGATCCAATCACCTCCCACCAGGCTCCACCTCTGACACTGGGGATTACAGTTTAACATGAGATTTGGGTGGAGACACAAATCCAAACCATATCAACACATATACAATATTTCATTTGTTTAACGATTTGCCTAGGGCTCCATTGAAGGTCACCTTGCCACCTAATGTGAACCTGGCTGTCCTGCATTTTAAAGTATTCCGATGCAGTAAAATTAGCTTAATATACTTCCACATTGAATTTCTCAGATTCACTGAATATATTTTGTTGTTTTTTAACTACATTAATTCATCACAGCAAACAGACTCAGTTTATTTTGAAAAGCTCAAATATTCATAAAATCCAACTTAGGCTTCAGAATTGTCTAATACAGTAACCCTTAGTCACATATGGCTATTTAAAATTAATTGATATAAAGTAAAATTAAATTTTCAGTTTATCAGTCACTTTAGTTGCATTTTATTGTTCAATAGCTACACATGACTAGTGGTGACTGCATTGGTCAAGTGCAGATATGAAATATTTTGTCATCTCAAAAAGTTCCATTGGACAAAACTGCTTTAGAGATTCATAGCATACATTATAATGATGCAGTAAATTCAGAGACTGGTAAGTTTTTTCTGACTTTAATTTATTGCTATTTTTTAAATGTTGGAAAACACATTTTAAATGTGTTTTCAATAGCCTCTCTAAAAGAAATAAACTGGCTTATATAACAATCTTTTCTGACTTCCCCTATAATATTCTGTTAGTGTTGCCAAGCATTTATTTAATTAATTTGTAAATCATATTGAGAACTTTGCCCCTAAACTGCAGTAAAACTGCCAACTATTTTAATGTTGCAATTTTTAAAAATTTTTTCTTTTATGAACCTAGAGCAAAGCAGTAAGTTAGAAGTTGCCATGGGCCAATGACTTGAAGTTAATTTCATTTACTTGTTGCTTTTTACTGCTTTTAGCTTGATTCAGATTTCTTAAACCTGCTTTCATTACCTTCTTGGTGATTTCATAAGACATAATGATTTCATAAGACATAATTGACTCTGCCCAAGATGTATTAGAAGACATTTGTACATTGTTTTTACTACCTTGTCTCCTCATAATAGAGCCTCCTGGTGTCTTAGTCATTTTATGCTGTTGTTTTCAACCAAGTTAAACTTATCAATGTAACTATGATTGAGAAATGAGTCAACTTGAAAATGATGCCGGAGTACTACAAGTGGGAACCCATTCTGGCCATGCAGTAATCTGCCAGGTTCATGAGAACTGATTTTTCCATATACGGAAATATTGTAACATGAAATATTTGTTTTGTTTTCAATAATTTTTGAAGACTGTTTATTTATTTTACTCCTCCTCTGAGGTTTTTTTTTAAATAACATGTTTCCTATTGACCATTTACCATATTAAATATTATTTCTTTTGTTTATGAACATTTTTTACCTGATGTCTAAATGTGCAATAAACATCTCCATTGCCAGTAAAGTCTGCAAGAATTCTAAAACCTAATGATAGAGAAAAGAAGCATGAGTTATTATAAATTATTTCAAAAGTTACTGATAAAAAAGGAAGATTGAAGTAGTAGTTTGTGTGTATTTGTCCATTCTCACACTGCTATGAAGAATACCCAAGACTGGGTAAATTATAAAGGAAAAGGGTTTAATTGACTCACAGTTCTGCATGCCTGGGGAAGCCTCAGGAAACTCACAATCATGGTGGAAGGCAAAGGAGAAGCAGGTACCTTCTTCACAGGGTGACAGGACGGAGTGAGTTGAAGCAGGGGAAATGTCAGATGCTTATAAAACCATCAGATCTCATGAGAACTCACACTATCAGGAGAACAACATGGGGGAACTGCCCCCATGATTCAATTACTTTCACCTGGTCTTCTGGATCTGTGGAGATTATGGGGATTACAATTCAAGATGAGATTTGGGTGGGGACACAAAGCCTAACCGTATCATTGTAATTAGTCTTTGTCAAATAATTACAATTTTTAATAAGTAATGGAATATTTACATATATACATATTCTGTTTTAGTAGTTTTATCATGGATAGATACATATTTGTCTCTATGTCTGTAACTGTATATATATATATATATATATATATATATATATATATATATATAACTATTAAAGAGTCCAAAAAAGATTAAAAATTGGAAAACAGAAAAGCTGTGGCCAAAATAAGTGGTACTAATCAGAACCAGTATAGGAAATCATCCATATAGAAAATGAGTCTAATGGTGTGGCTCAGTAAGTGTTCCATGACAACGGCTGGTTGTGTGGCCTCAACTATTTAACTTCTGAAATATAAACATCTGGATGACCTATTAACTGGAATGAGATGCACCTAAAACATAACTAATGTAAATGCACAAGGTACACACTGGGAAGAGACAGATGGACATGGGAGTGAGAGATGGATAGTTAGGTTAGAACAATCCACTGATGTAACTTCACGTTCAGAAGCCCAGAACAATAAAGATTTACATGGATGTTAATCATCTTGAAGTTGTCTTCCAATAAATTGATTGTCCCAATCAATAGTCAGTCTATCATTAATCCAGAGAGTATAATGTTGACTGGGTTGAGAAAATGTCTTTTCCTTTTAGAGCTATTAATATTTCTCTAACCCAGGTAGTTATGTAAATAAATGTTCTGTAATTCTAAAACATAAAATAAGTATAAAATAATAAAATTAATTAACAATTATCAATAATTAATAATGTAATTATTTGGCACTGTTTTAAATAAATGAATCATAATATATTTTAGAATCACTGAAAAATGCATGAAATTTTAAGAAAGTTAAGCAAAACCCAAAATTTATTAAAATATTTAGAGTAACCATTCTCAGTTTTAACTGCATGTTGGAATCATTTGGGAAAGTTGTGAAAATACTAATCCACAAAAAATTAAATAAGAATTTATGAGCTCAAGAATAGGGCTTTGGAATTTTTAAAAAAGATTTCTTGTATAATTCTATTGTGCAATCAGTATTTGACTACGCTTCCAAAAAATTTTTAAATATTGAATAGTGCTTGATGTATAAAATGTACGCTGTATAAGATTTATTTATGAGTTATGTTCTTGCAAGTTCAGGCTGCTATTACAAAATTTCTTAGACTGGGTAACTCATAAACAATACATATTTATTGTTCATACTTGTGGAGGCCGGGAAGTCCAAGATTAAGGCACCAGCAGATTTGATGTCTGGTAAGGGCCTCTTCCTCACAGATGTTGCCTTCTTTGTTCTCATGTGGTGAAAGGGGCAAACTAACTTTCTTGAGCCTCTTTTATAGAGCACAAATCCCATTCTTGAGGATTCTGCCCTCAAAACCTAATCTCCACCTCAAGGTCCTACATCTTAATACTACTGGGAATAAAGTCCCATATAAATTTTCCAGGGACAAGAAATTTAGACCATAGCAAATAGTAATATTAAATGTTGAAAAAGTTAATACATTAAACAAAGTACAAATTGTAGGGAATGTTACTCTCCATACCCTGAAAGCACTTCAGGTGATTAAAAATCCGAGCCACATGCCCAGGACACAATTGGAAATCTACAAACCTTAATCGAAGGTGTCTACTGTCAAGATGTAAAGTCTTAAACTAAAATCATTAAATTTAATTTTTACAAGTCAAGTGAATCACATAACCTACCTGACATGGTGTGGTTTTTATATTAGATAGATAGGTAGGCAAGCAGATAGATAAGATAAACCGTGAATTATTCTACGTAAGACCTTAACTAACTGTGGTTAAAATTGGGTGACAGATGAAGAGTGGTAGCTGGATGAAGAGAGCTTCGAATGATAAAATTTTCACAACATTTACTTTGAGATTATTGTTGTATATGGAATTACGTGATTGGTTAATTTTAAAATGGTAATCTAATTTGGTCAGAAACCTGTTAACCTGATGTAATCATATTAAGGGCATAGAACATAATGAAACAGTTATGTGCACTTAAATGTGTGTTTCTGATTATGCGTGTGAATATGTGTGTGTGTGTTGGGAAGACATAGGAAATTTTAGAACTCCTTTGAAGTATCTTGGCAAAATCTACAAAATGAGGAATTAGTGATAGTGAGAGCATTAAAGCAAGAGAAAAACCAAAGAAAAACCTAAGTATAAAAATAGTAATAGTAGTAACAGTAGCAATAACAACATTTACTGAAGAATTTCTATATTCTAGTCACTGAATGATGCATAAAGTGCTTTCAGAAATGAAATGTCCATGTTAGGACAACTAAGAGATTAAAGGTGACCAGAATCAGGGACAATTGCAAAGTATAATGTACAATAATTCAAGAGACATGGACAGTAATAGAGTATAGTTACAGGAGCAAGATGCAGTTTTTCCAAGGAACCAAGAAGTAAGTGTGTGTGTGGGGGGGGGGGGGGTGTATGTGTGTGAGAGAGAGAGAGAGAGAATCAACAAGATGCCAGAGATAGAAGTGAGATGTCCCCAGAAAAAAAAAAGGAAGAGAAATAAGTAACTGTTTAATAATAAAAATACAGATGCTCATCAAGATATTTTATCTTCAAAACCCATGCCAAGTTAAGTAAGAAGATATTGTATGATATACACAATGTGTACCTGGAATACAAACAAATTGACTTGAGGTAATCCTATTCTTGGATAGAAATAACTGTATATTGAACAAGATTATAAGTGTGCTGTGCTGCAAAAGATATTTTACCTTATAAGACGGATGTGTTAGAAGAATTACCAGGTGAGACTATATAATCTTGTGAAGTGAGTCATTAAACCAACATCAAGTACTTACCCCTTATAAAGCTCTGTGATTTTTGCACTGCTTTTATTAAAGGCAAAACATTTTGCAGAATTTGAATACAATTTTATATTATGGATGATAGCAGGAAAATAAATTATTCAAAGCAAATATTGGTGAGAAACTCTGGCTGCTTAAAGGTATCCTGTTTTCCCACTAGGTAATTTCAACTTTATTTGCCTTGTCTTTACGTAATATTTAACAAATGCATCATGGCTATTCTTAGTTGGTCAGTAATGTGTTTAATAAATTTCCAAGCAATTCAAGTAATATCTCACTATTTAAAAAGAGATGGGTTGTGTCAATGGCACACATTTCTTAATAACAAATCTATCATTTGTCATATTGTGCCAAATCTAAGAACATTTATGAAAGACAAGAATCTTAATTCCTTAGCTTTTTGACATGAAGTTCAAGACATTCAGAAGTGTTGCATAATGAGACTTTCAGAGTATATCATATTACCTTCCTATTTACCAAACCAAACAGAGGTTAAGATTATTCTGATTATTTAGAAAAGGTAAATGATTTCAGAAAACTGAAAGTTGTGTATACACATAGACAAACAGAAAGACACACACACAAAACAAACTAGCAATAAAGATATATATTTAAACTAATCAAGATTAGCTTTTTAAATAATTACTCCTTAAAGCAAATAAGCCATGAAAATTTTTATTATTAATGGGTTCCCATCATAATGTGACAAGGCAATATTCTGAGAGCTATTTTTGCCATTAGTCTGAGTTGAGATTAGGGAGTGACAGATAGAATTTGCCTGTAATTTGGTTAGAATTTAGCAGAGATTTCTTTATCTATGGCTCATCAAGTGCTCCACAAAATCCTGGTTGTGTGAAGATGAGGGAAGGTACAATTTCTGATTGTAATTCAATGTCTCCACTATCCAATCTGTCTACTTAGTTCTGAGAGCTTTAAAATGAGACATAGGAAAAAATGCCCCGTGTGTGTTAACTTCTTTTTCATCTCCCCAAGACATCATCAGACACTCAACAGTTGCAGTGTCTATCAAAAGAACTTATTCATGAACACAAAATATCTTTCCATTTATTTATGTCTTCAATTTTTTTCAATAATGTTTATAGTTTTCAATTTACAAGTCTTTCCTCTCTTCAGTTAAATTTATTCATATTTTTGATGGAATTGTAAATGGGATTGTTTTCTTGAATTCTTTTTCTGATACTCCAGTAGTAGTACACAGAAATGCAGCTGATTTTTATATGTTGATTTTGTATCCTGAAATTTTCTTGAGTTAATTTAGTTTTTCCAAAAGTTCGTAATGGGTTCTTTAGGGTTTTTAGGTTCTTTAGGGTTTTAGGTTTTTCATGTGTAAGATTACGTCATTTGTAAACAGGAGCAATTTAACTTCTTCCTTTCCAATCTGGATGCTTTTTATTTCTTTGTCTTGCCTAATTGCTTTGGCTAGGAATTGCAATACTATGTGAATAGACGTAGTAAGTAGAGGGTATCCTTGACATGTTCCTAATCATAGAGGAAAAGCTTCAATTTTTTACCATTTAGTATAACACTCTTTGAAACATCTTTTATAAATGCACTACAGTGTGGTCACCACACTCATTCACTGAAATAACACTGATCAAACCATGGCTAACAAGAAGCACTCTTACAGACATCATTTATACATTTGCTTTTAAATATTTCACTGTATGTGTGGTGACCACATTCATTCACTAAAGAAAAAAGAGCCAAAAATAATTAGTTCTTAAATCACAAGTTGTTAAAACATGATACAGTTTATATTACCAAGAAACTTTACCCTCCGGATATGGTATTATCTCTATTTAAGTAATTATGTGTGATACATACATCAGTAGAAACTAAAACTAGGAGAGTTGTAAAAGGATATTACAGAGTACCAGTTTAATGCTAGCAGTGTCTTAATTAAGCTGAGTGGAAGTTTGAATGAGGAAAACCACAAAAGCTTTAATTATATGCATATTTTTGTAGCTCAGCAAAATTTCAAATAAGAGAAGCACTTCTGAAATCCCAAATGTGTAGCAACTGATGATTATATAAAATCATTTTTATACACTATTAAGAAAGCCAGTGAACCATTAGCAGTAATAAAATAATACACTGTATTAATAATAAAGCCTGTGATATGAATGTTAACAAAAAAGATTAATCCAATATCCCTTTGCACCACATTTTGTGAAATGTTGCTTGATAAAAAAATCAAATTTTGAAAATAATAACACCTCATTGTAATTGTAGTTTAAGACACTCGTTAAAATGTTTTTATGTAATCATTGTTCTTGTACATAGTTATATTTGACAGCAGATTTTTTTACTACAATTAAAAGATTATAGTACTTATTAATTCATTCTTAGGCTGTCATTCAAAAAAAATTCAAAGGTGCAATTCTTTGATTTTTTTCTTAATTTTTTAGTTGTATCTTTACTTCTGAATTGCAAGGTTAATTCTGGGGTTTGGGACCACACACATTTCTTTTAGCTTAAAGTACACTAAAATATTTGACCCAAAATGACAAATGCCCTGATTGAGCCTAAAACAGAGGATAAATAAGAGCATACTGTAGCTTTACTGGGAAATAAAAAATTTAGAGGATCTATTTTCATGTGTTTTGGGAAGGAAAGAAACATAAACTTTAGCCGTCAAAGTCCATCCTCTTGACTTGGGAGCAGAGAAGGACCACCATTATCTCTAAGAGGTTAAAAACAAGGGATAAAACAAAGATTGTTGAGATACTGATAGTTATTTTCAGTGTACTCATAAATGCAAGAAAGAAACATAAAAATGACAATAACGATTCTTAAAAATGGTAAATATTCTACCAAAATTACATCAAGTTCTCTGACCTAATCACACACACACGGACACACACAGCGTGCTGAAGCTAGCTTGCATGGCTTGCTGGACCTAATTGTTAAATGCTTAGATATTTTGCCAACAGTTTGTTTAACTCTTGATAGCTTGAAATTGGCCTTGGTGGGAATATTTGCACCACAGAAATTGTTAAATGCTAAAAATCAAATGTTTTTGTTTGTTTTTTAGTGATTAAATTTAACAATACATCATCACTTTTAGGGCTTTTATTTGCTTGGTTTTTTGTCCTTTACTTTCTGTTCTTTAATTTTTTGGTTTATTCCTTGGAGAGGCAAAAATTTGTACCGTTTCTCCTCCTACATCTTCACTTCTTGATGAAGACAAGGAGACTGTGTATATTGTCAATCATCCACTTCGTATCCCCTTTTAACAAAGAATACCGCAGATTAATCAATGGCACTTTAACTTTTGCCAATTATGTAGACAAAAAGATAATAACTAGCAGCCATGCACAGAGAGGCACTAGCCACCAAGTGTCTTTTCTAATATGGCATAAGCTTTATGACAGATATAAAATTTCAGAAAGGAACGAGAGGGAAATAATTTTTAAAGGCACAGGACTATTACTGCTCCCTATGCATTTAAAGGAAAAAAATACTAGGCTAAATATTAAGTAAGATCCAACTCCCTTTTCTCTTACGCCCTGCTTGGATTTACTTCTGCTCTAGTATCACTTGTAACAGACTCTGTAACAGCAGCAATTAATACGAACAGTTGGAATCCCAGTCACCTGACTTTGCACAGGAGAGATAATCAGTGTCAGACCGATGCAGACATGAGTTAAATGGTACATTTCCAATATTGGATGGGATTTGTAGTTCTTCAGTCAACTTCCTGAGATCATACTGACAGGGACAACAAGAAGGACGTAAAATAAAATAATCAGTTGATGTTCTTACAACTACTAATTGTTTCTAGAATCAATCAAATAATTTCAGAACAAACATCCTAATTGGCAATTCCAACGTGTCAGGTCTTCACTCTACCCAATATCTGTGCAACATTTGACATTGCTATTTTATATTCATGCAATGAATGCTGCTTTATTTTGTGTTTACATATGTGTCCTTGGCCTTCGTTAAATAATATAGCTGACGAGTCTAGTATCATGTGTTGAATACAATCAACAGTAAAGATATGTCTTCTCCTCGCTCCTCCAGCTCTTGGTAGTCCTGTTTACTTCCATGGCTTCAAACAACACCAGTAGGAGACTTTGGCTCCCTTTCTCCTGCTCCACCCTCTTTACTGAGCCCTAAACTCACAAAACCAACTGTCTTTTGATTACTCTGTCATTATCTTCCCTTGCAAACCAAAATCTAACTTCCTAAAAGTAAAATTATTATCCTCATCCCGTTAAAATTTCCATCCTCCAGCCTTCCCCATCTTAATGAATGTTATCATTTTCTTTCTTGTGATGAAAACAAAAAACCTCAAAGACAACTTTGATTATCTCACTTCCTCACTTGGAACTTCCCTTTTATATTTCAAATCAGTCTTTCTCAAATCTTTCAGTCTACTCCTACTGCTATTAGAATATTTTTCAGCCCATCTTCTAAATAAGGGATATACAGAATAAATAAGACTACATAAATCAATCTTAGTTTTCTGGTATTCAGTTTGTTTCTCATCTGGGGCTATAGAGGCTAGTATGTATCTTCAGACACTCCCATAACACATGAAACAAAGAAATACATCTAAGTAATGTCAGTAATAGAGCCCCCAAACTGGCCAAATTTCAGCCTATTCCTACTATTACTGTCTTCTCTAGGCTCTCATACTTCTCTGGGATAATGTTAACAGCAGACTTCTAACTGCATTTTCTTAATCGGATGTGTGTGTTTTTCTAATCCATCCCCACCCTGCCACCAGAATTGTATTTCCAGAATCCCCTCTAAATTCTTGAACTCATGCTCTCAAAAGTTTTCTGTAGTTCCTCACTACTAATGGAAGAAAGTCTTAGCAAGGCTTTCAGAGCATGCCGTATTCCATCTCAGCTGCATTTTTCAAAATTTCACAGTGACTCCAGTGACACCTCCTCTCTTCAGCTCCTTTCAGAGCACTTCTATTCTGAACCTTTGTTGATACTGTCTCTGCATCCTGGAATTCCATCTGTTTGATCACCTACTGAAATCCATGCAATTTTTCAAAGTCCAGCCTCAAATAATTAGCTTAGTGAAACCAATCACACTTCGTTTTTAAGAATTATCCAGCATTTCTTTCTCTCAAGTTCTCTAGCCTATGCTTGGTAGTTTAGAACTCTGTCATTCTAATCATTTTTTAATTATTTTTCAGACTTCTATCACCTTTTGTTTCTGTAATTATGTCAGCCATCCCAATGTGGTTTTCTTCTATCAAATTTGAAAGAAGAAAACAATTATTTCTTAATTTTTAATTTTCATGAAAATTAAACTCATTTCCTGGCAAAGTTCTTGACACACACGAGACACTTAATAAATTATACTTCAATAAATATTTTGCATTTAGAACGAGTAATTTGGCCAGTTTGGGGGCTCTATTGCTGTCATGATTTAAATGAATTGTTTTGTTTCATGTTTTATGTGAGTGTCTGAAGATATACTCTAGTTTCTGCAGCCCCAGATGAGAAGCAAATTGAACACCAAAAAAAGCAATTTTAATTTATGTAGTCTTATTTTTCTATAGCTCTTATTTAGAAGATGAGCTGAAAAATACCCTCTCAAATCTGCTTTTTTCTTGGCAGATGATCTATTAGTGATAGAGTAGAGTTAAAATAATGCAGATAGGCTATAATATTATTATTGATTTTATTTTTTTATAAGCCTATGCCAGTTTTCTTTGAATGATCAAATAACATACCCAGTTTGTCTGGTTGAGAAGAGTAGAAAATTTCAAATACTCAATCTAATATAATAATAGCAAGTACACACTGTAGTGTGCCAAACGCTATTCTACATACTTCTCATAAAATAACATGTTTAATTCTCAAAACACTCACACGTGGTAGATACTCTTAATATCCCCATTTTGCAGAGAATGGGATTGAGGGATTTGATGATTAACTGACTTGTTCAAAACACAGGGCTTATCAGCATTTAGAACCAGGATAGAAACCCAGGCACACTGATCTATATTCCATGCTCTTTCGTGCTATGCTGTGCTGCCTTTCATTAATTGATTAGAGGCATGTGCAACAGTAAATACACAGAATCAAATACAGAGGGAACTGAATTGAGGTATTAAAAAGTTTAGTAGGGGGCAAATTAAAGAGTGATGAATTTTGACTGGATTGTCAGAAATCGACTCACAGATGAGATGGCCACTTAGGGAACTCACACATGAGTAGGGCTCTGATTCTTCACCAGCTTAAACGCAGATCGTGGACTTGTGGTTCTCACTATTCCTCATACACTTTATCCTGGATTCTAACAGCACCTTTTATTTCCTTCTGCTTTTGCCATCTCACAGTATCATAGGCCCTTCCACACTTTTCCTGACTGCCTAACTATTGCAGTATATAATTACATCAATAATTATTAAGCACTATTTGGTGGCATATGTAAAAACATATATTTCTTTAACTTTATAACAAAATGCTATTTACCTAGCATTTCTGAACTCAGTGCATTATTAACTTATAATAAAAACAAACCTAATATCATACTCTTATAGAGTTACATAGCAACCTTGACTTTCCTCAGAAATACTTTAAGCTTTACTACTCATGGGTTTGTGAACAAATGTCAGCTTTTAATGAACATTGCTTCAACCCTAGAAATTATGAAATATTTTATTTTAGCTACATTAAGTAATAAGTAAGGATATTCAGGAAGTAATGATATTCAGGTAAAACACACACACACACACACACACACGCACGCACACACACATGCATTTGCTAATTCATTTATTTTAGCCAGAATCTAAATAATCTTACCCTTCTTTTAATAAATCTTCCAAAGATTACTAACTCTTTCCCTTCTCTGGTTACTATTACACATCATTTGAGAGGTCTTTGACATTGGTGAGTACACATGTTTAAATGAGACGAGGACTGGCTTCCTGGAGAAAGGAGAGAAAAATAGAAATAAAAGTTATCGAAATCAGCTTATCTTTGAAAAATTGGTATTAAAAACTAAAATTTGCCTATTTTACATTTTCCAGCATGCAAGGGACTAAAAAGAGTGTGTGAGATTTTGTGTGCATGTGAACAGAGGTGTGCATAGTGGTAACAGTTAATGATGTGTGTCAACTAGACTGAGCCATAGGATACTCAGATAACTGGTTTACATTATTGCTGAGTGTGTTTATGAGGGTGTTTCCGAAAAAAAAAATAGCATTTAAATCAACACACCAAATAAAGCAGGTGGCTTTCCACAATGCAGGTAGGCACCATCAAATTCATTAAAGACCTAAGCAGAACAAAAAGCTGAGAGAGGTCAAACTCACTCTGCCTGACTCCTTGAGCTGAACATTGATCTTCTCCTGCCCACAACACTCCTGGTTCTCAGGATTTCAGACCTAGACTGGAATCTATACCATTAGATCTCCATTTATCAGGCCTTCAATCTGCGTCACCAATTTTCCTGGACCCCTAGGTTTCATACTGTGAAGCTTCTCGGACTCCATAATTGCATGAGTTACTACTTTATAATAAATATCTTCCTGAGTATAGATATATCTATATATCTCCTGTAAGACAGCACCATAACTGTGGCAATTTGATACATATGCTTACAATTCTATACATATTCTGTTTCTTTGGAGAGCTCTGACTAATGCAATGGCTTTTTATTTTTCTTTCTTTTTTTTTTTTTTTTATTATACTCTAAGTTTTAGGGTACATGTGCACATTGTGCAGGTTAGTTACATATGTATACATGTGCCATGCTGGTGCGCTGCACCCACTAATGTGTCATCTAGCATTAGGTATATCTCCCAATGCTATCCCTCCCCCCTCCCCCGACCCCACCACAGTCCCCAGAGTGTGATATTCCCCTTCCTGCGTCCATGTGATCTCATTGTTCAATTCCCACCTATGAGTGAGAATATGCGGTGTTTGGTTTTTTGTTCTTGCGATAGTTTACTGAGAATGATGGTTTCCAATTTCATCCATGTCCCTACAAAGGATATGAACTCATCATTTTTTATGGCTGCATAGTATTCCATGGTGTATATGTGCCACATTTTCTTAATCCAGTCTATCATTGTTGGACATTTGGGTTGGTTCCAAGTCTTTGCTATTGTGAATAGTGCTGCAATAAACATATGTGTGCATGTGTCTTTATAGCAGCATGATTTATAGTCCTTTGGGTATATACCCAGTAATGGGATGGCTGGGTCAAATGGTATTTCTAGTTCTAGATCCCTGAGGAATCGCCACACTGACTTCCACAATGGTTGAACTAGTTTACAGTCCCACCAACAGTGCAAAAGTGTTCCTATTTCTCCACATCCTCTCCAGCACCTGTTGTTTCCTGACTTTTTAATGATTGCCATTCTAACTGGTGTGAGATGATATCTCATAGTGGTTTTGATTTGCATTTCTCTGATGGCCAGTGATGATGAGCATTTCTTCATGTGTTTTTTGGCTGCATAAATGTCTTCTTTTGAGAAGTGTCTGTTCATGTCCTTCGCCCACTTTTTGATGGGGTTGTTTGTTTTTTTCTTGTAAATTTGTTTGAGTTCATTGTAGATTCTGGATATTAGCCCTTTGTCAGATGAGTAGGTTGCGAAAATTTTCTCCCATGTTGTAGGTTGCCTGTTCACTCTGATGGTAGTTTCTTTTGCTGTGCAGAAGCTCTTTAGTTTAATTAGATCCCATTTGTCAATTTTGGCTTTTGTTGCCATTGCTTTTGGTGTTTTGGACATGAAGTCCTTGCCCATACCTATGTCCTGAATGGTAATGCCTAGGTTTTCTTCTAGGGTTTTTATGGTTTTAGGTCTAACGTTTAAATCTTTAATCCATCTTGAATTGATTTTTGTATAAGGTGTAAGGAAGGGATCCAGTTTCAGCTTTCTACATATGGCTAGCCAGTTTTCCCAGCAGCATTTATTAAATAGGGAATCCTTTCCCCATTGCTTGTTTTTCTCAGGTTTGTCAAAGATCAGATGGTTGTAGATATGTGGCGTTATTTCTGAGGGCTCTGTTCTGTTCCATTGATCTATATCTCTGTTTTGGTACCAGTACCATGCTGTTTTGGTTTTAAAAAGCAATGGTTTTTTAAAAAAACTTGGCCCAATGCAGATTTGCAGTGCACTATTAATTATGCTTCCTTTCTCTGCATTTGGAAATATAATTAGTCTATAGCTGTAAGCCAAGCTACAAGCCTTTTTACAACTTATTTCACCTTTTTCAAATAGGAGATTTTTAAAATTTTCCACTGTATTGAGAAAAACTCCCAGGTCAGTAACAAAGGGAGCCAGTATGCTGACTGTATCCCTGCAGCTCAGAACTGTGCAGCATGGGGGGTTTTCAGAGAGCAAATGGAATGGAGGGATAATGGGATCAATGATCATAAAATGACCAAGACAAGTAGAGAAAAATATTCAGACTCCATTGACTTACATAGCTGTGCCTCAGGCCAAGACAAGACAGACCAATCAAAGATGACTTGAATCCTGAGATCTGAGGAAGAATAGAATCAAATAACAAGGATAATCATGGCACTTAGTACAGTTATAAGTGGTTCTATTAGAGTGCATTGATCTACCTTTGGGTACCCTTTTCAAAGGTAGCCAGTTATAAATCATCCTTCCAAAGCTTGCTTACAACTTAAAATTCGAATGACTGGGTAGAGGTTTTATGTAATGGGCAATGAGTTACACTTCAGAGCACAGGTCTTTGAAGTTTTTATATTAATGTGGTTAAGGTTTTACACTTTCAAATTCTCTGCATGTTCAATTTCTTTGCCAAATCTAGTTGTTATTTCTTTACATTAACTAAAATAACTGTTAATATACATTCAGCTTTTATAATTTATTGAAATTTACTTTAACATACAATATTTGATTAATCATCAAAACAATTCTATGAAGTAACAAGGGCATGGTATTACTATTCAAAATGTTCTGGTGAGACTGAAACTCAGATTAATTAATTCATGTGAAATAACTAGGCCAATATTTGACATCTTTGCTCTTTTTAATACTATGTTCTTTCCAACTTCGGTCTTTCCCTCAGCATTAATCTAAGCAATCATTCTACCTGTCCGGGACAACTTCATTTTCCATTCTGAATACCTACCATATTAAAAAATTATAGCTTTCCTCAAACTTCAAATATATCCTCGTCTATCTTAGCAAAAGAACTGACTGTTAACTGCATAGGAAAAATAAATTAAGCGTCTCAGGCAAAAACATCTTCAATTTTCTATTGCATTATTTATTTATCCTCACATTCTCATGTCTTTTTACTTAAGTTGCAAAAGAAGTATATATCCTTCCGATTAGCTAATTATTCTGTCTGTGCTTCTAATCTTGTAGTATTTTGCCAATTGTTATTTTTCTCGTGTGTGTGTGTGTGTGTGTGTGTGTGTGTTTGTATGTCTGTCTGTCATATTTTGAGTTTCCCAGGAAAAGACTTTGAAACTCTGGAAAATGTATTTAGGAAGTTTTTAAAGTCCTTCTCTGAGATTAATATGTATGAAAAGTGAAGCAAGCAGGGTTAAAGAGTGGCAATGCAGTGGCCACAAAGCTTCAGCTTATTTTGTAGATACTCTAGAGTTGAGGTGGCCCTTCAAAGTTGTCTCAATTGAGGTAAGGGGCTAAATTTCTCCCCCTTATTAAACGATCATGGAATATGGGCTGCCCCCAAAATGAATGTATTCTTGGCAAGTAAACTCCCTTCAGCCAACCACAAATTATGAAGAAAGACTCAGTTTTGAGTTTCAGCAGCCAACACTTTTGGTACCTGAGGGTACACCACAGTGTTTCCTATACTCTCTCTACTCTCTGGATCCTTATTCCAATTCAAGTCACTCACATATCACAAAGAAAAACAGGGGAAGTTACCTCCATTTTTTTCTAAGTGTCATTCTAGTTGCAACACTTTCTCTGTTTTCTCAAATAGCTAATTTTATTTTATTATTCCCAGCTTTATTTAAGTTTAGCTGACAATTTGTAATTATATATATTTAAGGTGAACAAACCGCTGATGTACTACACATATACACTGTGAAAATTCACCACAATCAAGCTACTTAACATAACCATCATCTCAAGTAGTTACCATTTTCTTTCCCTTGTCTTTTTCTTATCATTCTCTTTCCCCTTCTACTTCTTCTTCTCCTCTTTCTTCTTCTTCTTTCATAGTGGGATTACTTAAGAGCTCCCTTCTTAGCAAATTTCTTTTTCTTTTTTTTTTTTTTGAGATGGAGTTTTGCTCTTGTTGCCCAGGCTGGAGTGCAATGGCGCGATCTCGGCTCACTGCAACCTCTGCCTCCCGGGTTCAAGTGAGTCTCCTGCCTCAGCCTACTGAGTAGTTGGGATTACAGGCATGTGCCACCACACCTGGCTAGTTTTGTATTTTTAGTAGAGACTGGGTTTCTCCATGTTGATCAGGCTGGTCTTGAACTCCCGACCTCAGGTGATCTGCCCGCCTCGGCCTCCCAAAGTGCTGGGATTACAGGCATAAGCCACTACACCCAGCAGCAAATTTCAATTATGCAATACAATATTACTAACTATAGTAATATTATTGTACATTGGATTTTCAGAACTTACCTTGTATAACTGAAACTTAGTACATGTTCACCAACATCACCCCATTTCCCTTTACTTCCAACTCCTGGTAACCACCATTGTACTCTGTTTCTCTGAGTCTGGCTATTCTAGACACCAAAAGCAAGTCAGGTCATACAGTATTAATCTTTCTGCATAATGTTTTCAGGTTAACCCATGTTGTCAAAAATGGATAGCCACATGAAGAAAAATGAAACTGGACCTTTACCACACACCATATAAAAAAAATCAACTCAAAATGGATTAAAGACTAAAACTCAAGACCTGAAACCATGAAATTACTAGTAAAAAACAGAGAGTTAAAGCTTCTTGACACTGGTCTGGGTAATGATTTTTTGGATAAGATACCAAAAGCACAGGCAACAAAAGCTGTAATAGACAATTGGGATTACATCACTATAAAGCTTCTGCACAGAAAAGGAATCAAGAGTAAAAAGGCAAGCTATGGAATGGAAGAAAATATTTGCAAACCTTATTATCAGAAAAGGGGCTAGTATATAAGACTCCTACAATTCAATAAGAAAGAGAAAAACACGTAACCTCATTAAAAAATATTCAAAGGCATTGAATATAGATATTTCTCAGAAGAAGGCATACAGATAAACAACAGGCATATTAAAAGGTGCTGAACTTCACTAATCATCAAGGAAATGTAAATCAAAACCACAATGAGACCTCACTCACAACTGTTAGAATGGCTATTATTAAAAAGACAAAAGATAAAAAGTGTTGGCAAGGATGTGAAGAAAAGGGACCCCTTGTACAATGTTAGTGAGAATGTAAATAGGGACAGCCATCATGGAAAGCAATATGAAAGGTCCTCAAAAAATTAAAAATAGAAGTACCTTATAATCCATCAACTCCACTTCTGGGTATACATCCAAAGGAAATAAAATCGGTATCTCAAAGAGATAACTGTACTCCCTTGTTTATTTTATCATTATTGAAACAGCTAATTTTAAGCAAATAATTTTTTTGGCTCTTTTTCCCCTTCCCACTTTTTTTTTTTTTAAATTTTACTTTATGTTTTGGGATACATGTGAAGAACATGGAGATTTGTTACATAGGTATACACCTGCCATGGTGGTTTGCTGCACCCTTCAACCCATCATCTACATTAGGTATTTCTCCTAATGCTATCCCTCCCCTAGCCTCCCACCCCCCAACAGGCCCGGGTGTGTGATGTTCCCCTCCCTGTGTCCATGTGTTCTCATTGTCCAACTCCCAATTATAAGTGAGAACATGTGGTGTAAGGTTTTCTGTTCCTGTGTTATTTTGCTGAGAATGATGGTTTCCAGCTTCATCTATGTCCCTGCAAAGGACATGAACTCATCCTTTTTTACGGTTGCATAGTATTCCTTGGTGTATATGTGCCACATTTTCTTTATCCAGCCCATCATTGATGGGCATTTGGGTTGGTTCTAAGTCTTTGCTATTGTGAATAGCGCTGCAAAAAACATACATGTGCATGTGTCTTTATAGTAGAATGATTTATAATCCTTTGGGTATATACTGGGTGTATACTTTGGGTATATACTTTGGGTATATTACTGGGTATATAATCCCAGTAATGGGATTGCTGTGTCAAATGGTATTTCTGGTTCTAGATCCTTGAGGAATCACCACATTGTCTTCCACAATGGTTGAACTAATGTACACTCCCACCAACAGTGTAAAAGCATTCCTATTTCTCCACATCCTCTTCAGCATCTGTTGTTTCCTCACTTTTTAATGATCGCCATTCTAACTGGCGTGAGATGGCATCTCATTGTGGCTTTGATTTGCATTTCTCTAATGATCAGTGGTGATGAGCATTTTTTCATATGTGTGTTGGCCGCATAAATGTCTTCTTTTGAGAAGTGTCTGTTCTTATCCTTCACCCACTTTTTGATGAGGTTGTTTGTTTTCTTCTTGTAAATTTGTTTAAGTTCTTTATAGATTCTGGATATTAGCCTTTTGTCAGATGGATAGATTGCAAAAATTTCCTCCCACTCTGTAGGTTGCCTGTTCACTCTGATGATAGTTTCTTTTGCTGTGCAAAAGCCCTTTAGTTTGATTAGATCCCATTTATCAATTTTGGCTTTTGTTCCATTGCTTTTGGTGTTTTAGTCATGAAGTCTTTGCCTATGCCTGTGCCCCAAATGGTATTGCCTAGGTTTTCTTCTAGGGTTTTTGTAGTTTTAGGTCTTATGTTTAAGTCTTTAATCCATCTTGAGTTAATTTTTTTATAAGGTGTAAGGAAGGGGTCCAGTTTCAGTTTTCTGCATATGGCTAGCCCGTTTTCCCAACATTGTTTATTAAATTGGGAATCCTTTTCCCATTGCTTGTTTTTGTCAGGTTTGTCAAATATCAGATGGTTGTAGATGTGTGGCGTTATTTCTGAGGCCTCTGTTCTATTCCACTGGTCTATATATATCTGTTTTGGTACCGGTACCATGTTGCTTTGGCTACTATAGCCTTGTAGTAGGCTAGTTTGAAGTCAGGTAGCGTGATGCCTCCAGCTTTGTTCTTTTTGCTTAGGATTGTCTTGGCTGTATGGGCTCTTTTTTGGTTCCATATGAAATTTAAAGTAGTTTTTTCTAATTCTGTGAAGAAAGTCCATGGTAGCTTGATGAGGATAGCAATGAATCCATAAATGGCCATTTTCATGAAATGAAGTCTTCCTATCCATGAGCATGGATTTTTTTCCATTTGTTTGTGTCCTCTCTTATTTCCTTGAGCAGTGGTTTGTAGTTCTCCTTGAAGAGGTCCTTCACATCCACATCCCTTGTGAGGTGGATTCCTAGGTATTTTATTCTCTTTGATGCAACTGTGAATGGGAGTTCACTCATGATTTGGCTCTGTGTTTGTCTATTATTAGTGTATAGGAATACTTGTGATTTTTGCACATTGATTTTGTATCCTGAGACTTTACTGAAGTTGCTTATCACCTTAAGGATATTTTGGGCTGAGACGATAGGGTTTTCTAAATATACAATCATGTCATCTGCAAACAGAGACAATTTGACTTCCTCTCTTCCTATTTGAAATACCCTTTATTTCTTTCTCTTACCTGATTACCCAGGCAAGAACTTCCAATCCTATGTTGAATAGGAGTGGTGAGAGAGGGCATCCTTGTCTTGTGCCAGTTTTCCAAGGGAATGCTTCCAGCTTTTGCCCATTCAGTATGATATTGGCTGTGGGTTTGTCATACATAGCTGTTATTATTTTGAGATATGTCCATCAATACCTAGCTTATTGAGAGTTTTTAGCATGAATCCCCTTCCCACTGTTCAACTTTCATAATAATCTTATTCTATATGTTGTCTTAAAGACTATTGTGAGTTGTAGTAGCTGTTTTCTATACTTTTATGACTCTTTAATATATTTTTTTTTCTGAATAGTCTGTATTGTTATATTTTTAAATGCCAGTTGGGAATCTCTCACTGGACATTATACAGCCTTAAAGCTCAACGTATTCAAAAAATGAAATGGCAGCAGTAATCATTCATTTCTGTAAGCAAAACCCCCCCAAGTATCAGACACCTTCTTCAATGTCCTCATTCATATCTCTACATGTTGCATAAAAATAATACATGGAGGATGCTGAAATGGCATACAGTACTATTTTCTGTGAATAATCACAGTTCCATAGCTAACATAGAAGCCAGAAGGGTTTGTCTGCATACTTGTTTGTTTAATTTTAATTATGAATCTAATGAGCAGAGGCTGTATCTTTACCCTAGAATATACTGTATTTTCTTATCTGACTACAGTAATAAGAAAATTATTTGACATAATTGAAGCAAAAAGAGGACATAAAAACAAAATAGAATATGATGGTTTTACTAAAATAAGCTCTATTGCCTCAGAAAAGAAATAAATTAAATATTAACTTCATCTGATGACTGATATTATTTTGTTTCATTAACAGTATATAAAATTAACTTCTTATACAAGCTTTGTTAGTACATAAAATATGCACAAACTAGTGGAGTTAATATTAGATCTGTATGAAAGCTCAGGAGCATTTCCTTAATTATTATAAACTAACATTTTTGTGACTGGTCAATGATGAATAAACATTATGTTGAAGAGATAGAACATAAATTAATTAATAAGCAAATAAGTCTGTTTTTGATGTTTTTGGGGCCAAGCGCTGAATGTGGCAAATCAGTACTGAAAAAAATGCATACATATGTGTGTGCAGGAAAACTGACATATGAAACAAGCAGAACAATCAGTGATCAATCCAGCATTACATTTTACAAAGTATAAACACAGTTGGTTTTTAAGAAGAAAGTGATGAGTATGGGCTGAGACATTTGGAAAAAGCAGAAATTTGAATCTGGGTCTTGGAAGACAAGAATTTATGCAGGTGAAAGGAATAGAACAGGAATATATCTAGGAAACAAAAAAACACAAGCAAGAACATGGAAGTTGAAAGCATGGTATTTGAAGGGAACAGGAAAGAGAAGCCCAGAATTTGAACCAATTTCTAGAGAGATATTACAGAGTCTTGTGAAAGGCATCTAGAACTGGGCAACAAAAATGGAAGAGTTCAGCCTCATCCCCTGCTCCTGTTGTCTTTTTAGTGTGGATCAGGGTACTTTTGCTTCACTGAGCCTGAATTCATTCACTTTCCACTGAGGACAACATGAGCCTTGCCTCTGCCTCTGTAACTGTAGAAATGAAATGAGATAATCCCTATGGCAGTGCATTTGATACTGTAAAGATCTCCATAAAGGGGATATTATTAATGGTCAAAATTAATATTCCTTCCCACATGCAGGATGTGTTACTCCAGACACAATTAGGGTTGCTGCTGCTGCTGCTGTTGTTGTTTTAATTAGCTGCATGTAGTAGGTTGTTACAAAGGTGAGGTAGATTAAATAATTTGAGTGCAATATTTCTCCCTATGTAGAGAAACACATCCAGACCCCTTTATACAAAAACAACCTGCCTACAGAAGCTGCTTGATTGTTTTGGTTGTTTTGTTGCTTGCATCTCCGTTCTATTATATTTTGTATTGCTTGTTTTCCTAGTCGGTATGGAGATGTCCAAGAGAGCATATGACTGATGTGATGGAAAGAAGCCTGAATTCCTGTCTGTTATGGGTAAAATTGTGTCCTCCCAAAATTCATATGTTGAAGTTGTAACACCCTAGTACCTCAAAATGTGACATCATTTAGAAATAGGATAGTTGCAGATGTAATTAGTTTTGTTAAAATGAAGTGGGCCCCAAATCAAATATGATTAATGTCCTTTAAAAAGAAGAAATTTGGAAACATACACACACAGGAAGAATGCCATGTGAACATGAAGACAGAGACAAGAGTGAAGCAACTACAGGCCAAGGAACACCATAGATTGTCAGAAAACCACGAAAAGCTAGGAGAGAGACATGGCATAGATTCTCTGAACCAACCCTGCTGGCACTTTGATTTTGGACTTTTGGCCTCCAGGACTATGAGACAATACATTTCTGTTGTTTAAGCCACCTCATTTGAGGTACTTTGTTCTGGCAGCCCTAGGAAACTAATACAACGAAATCAGATCCACATTCAAGTATTGACTCTATTTTATACCTACTGCATAAACCTTGATCAAGTCACACAATAGCTTTGAATTTCCTTAAAAGAATGTGAGAATACGTGGACACAGGGAAGGGAACATCACACATGAGGGCCTATCAGGGGGTAAAGGTCTAGGGGAGGGATTGCATTAAGAGAAATACCTAGGGTAGATGACAAGTTGATTGGTGTAGTAAACCACCATGGCACATGTATACCTACGTAACAAACCTGCACATTCTGCACATGTATTTCAGAACTTAAAGTGTAATAATAATAATAATAATAATAATAAAATAATATGTACTCTTGCTACCTCACAGCTCTGCCTGGATCAAGTAGGTAATATTGCAAACAAATTCTGTAGATGATAAAAATGCTATAGCATTTTTATGTGGTTACTCATATGAATAAAAGTAACCAAAATTGCTTATCAATAAATTTCCTTTTATTTGCAATGTTCTGTCACAACTACAGAAGCTATATATTATACATAACCGTGACTTACAACACATCATCTTTTAAATGTGTCAGACACATTTAGGCACACACTTGTAGGCATTCTGTATATTGAAATTCATATGATATAATCATAATCTTGACACTATTTAACCTGTTTTTTCCAGATGTTGGCATGGGACACATTACTATATGCACTGCAATTGGCTGCTGGGATTAAATAAATTCTTCAGATTCTATTTTATGCTTCAAAAATATGTGTGTGTATATGCTGTATGCCTTATAATATATATGTATGTATGTGGGTATGTGTATGTATGCATGTGTGGGGTATGTGTGTATGTGTGTGTGCCCCCTTATTATTCAGTTTTAGCCAATGTGTGCTCCTTATTTAATAGTATATTATTGATGCATAGAGGTGTCATGTCTCTGCTATATTTTCATAAGTGACAAGTGTTTCTGTGACTCTAAGGAATAGAAAATGCTGATGAAAAAAGACAGTTCGTTAGGCCTAACCCAGACAAGAATAAATAGGTCATAACACTGTGGAGTTCTACAGAAACAACTAAATATTGCCTGAAAAAATGTAGTTATGTAGTATAATCATTGCGCTGACATTAAAAGAAAAGAAAAACTGTCAGAAAAAAAATAATCAAAGGTTGCTGACTTCCCTTTGCCAGATATGCAAGCGAATGAGTTTAGCTCCGGTAGCTGTGACTGATGACTAAGATGAGAAGCCCTGAAACAGAGGAGTAGGTTCTGGTAGTGGTTAGATTGAAGAATCTAGCTTATTTTTAAGAGATCTGGCTTATTTTTAAGCCAGTGATAGACTTTGACATTCTGAAATGAGATTTCTTTATAACTGGAGTTGGGAATAGAAGAGCTACAGTGTGGCTTTTATATGCATGTTATTAGTGCATATTTACTTATATATAATACATGTATATTATTATGGTCAATAGGATCTTTAAATATATACAATTTCATCACGGTATTTACCTAGAGCACTCTTAGATTTTTTTTCTAGAATTGTTATAGTTCAGACCTTTAATCTGTCTTCTCTTTTAACCTTCTTTCTATGACTCTTCCTTTTCTAAGATCATTTCTTGGTTTTCACATAAATAGAGATATTTATTTATTTTTGGTATTAATTCCATATTGTATTTGGTATTAATTCCATATTGTAGCTGCATAACACTTTCCATATTTAAAGTTTGCATCTTATATATTTTTGTGTCATGCTGACCATATGCAAGTCATTTAAAATATCAGTTGATTATTATAGAGGATCTTTGCAACACTGAAAGCAAATATAATATTGATTATATCTTTTCATTTGTAAGAATATATTTACTGGCCTATTTTAAAAAACTAGACAAATAGCATTTAGCAAGTCTACAACTGACTTCCTCAAAGACCTTCAAAGCATTTTTAGTCTCATTGATCCTTATGTCATCCTTAAGATTACCTCTATGTGCAAAATCAATTCAACTGCAGTGATAATCAAGTGAGAAATAAAGCCATTCACTTAGGCAAATACAAAACAATTTTGACTTTCAAAAACAATTCTGAGTTTTGGAAGACTGTGCCAGTATAAAGTCAGATAGAAGACTTATAAGTTAGGCCACAGGATAGGCAAATAAACTTATTTTCAAAAGACAGTAATTGAGAGATCCAGAAATAAGAAGATAAGTATAATAGCTAGTTCAATTTTATGTATTACGTAACAGTAAGCTATTAGGTGAGAATCTTCATTCCTCTGCTTTTCAGCCCCCATTGTCTCATGTGGCCACTCCACAGATGAATGGGAATGGTTTACATCAGTGCTTCTGAGCGCCTTGACTGGCCCTAGTGCCTTTTCTCCAATTTTGCACAAAGATGCAAAATAAGTTTTGGGAAATATATAATCCATTAAAGGGAAAGACAAACCAGGGATTAACCAGGGACTATATGCCTTATTTTCTATCAGCTGTTTCATTGATTTCTTGTTTATTTCAACATATATGCCATTCTTCCTAATAAGAAAGACAATTAAATCATTTGTCTCACTGAGGAGTATTAAAATATATATGCCCATTTTGCCCTCCCCAAAAGTTAATTTTTCATGACCTTTTATTTTAATAAATAATGATGTTTGCCTCATAGAGAAAATTTTTACTATGAAAGTAAAAGTGTCATTTCTCTGCGGAACTAACGTGTTGTAGAAGAAGGATTATTGACTTAGGGGGCTAAAAATCCTAAATTTAAATCTTATCTCCCCAGTTTGTAAGATATGTTTCCTTAGGCATTTTATTTTTTATTTTCACCAGGTTCCCTACTGCTTTATCTAAAATGATGCTTATTTATAAGTTATAGGATTGTTTGGGGAAATAGGTTACATAATAAAAGCAAAGCAGTTGGCAAAAGGAATATTTTTATAAATATTAATTACCATCTTTTATACTCATTGCTGCCCATTGCCCATATCCCACACTAAACATAACTTTTCTTAACAGATTCCTATCAAATACATCATATCTGAAAACATCATAGGACATTACATTCAACTTCTCCAAGAGAACAGATATCCTGTAGGAAAACTTTCAATCACAGTTCATTAAAATAGTACAACCTATTTCTGTCAACTTTGAGTGATGAGCTCTCTGCTGTTCTTTTGATTATATAAAATCAATGGAATCTTTAATATGTATTTAATATCTTCAGGTTCCTCCACAGGTTACCTCTGAGTAAAGCAGTAGAAGTGATTCATCAAGGCATATAGTTGTGTGATTCCAGAAAGACAAGGAGAGTTCAGAGAACTGGTTCTACCTCTAAGTCATAATCTATTCTTTCCTCAGATAATGTGGAAAGTTCTAACATCTTTAATACTAGTCCAAGTCGGTGTCATCCTTTATGGTAAAAAAGGTTGCCCTACGAATAATGAAGATTCCTTGTAGATTTTAGGACTAAATTGGAATCTAAATGTGCAAGTTGTTTGCACAAAGTCCATTCTCTCTTGTATGGGCCTAAAATTTAGGACCTCTGTAACAAACATACTTGTCATTTCATTCCCTGATCATTTTAAACTTAGTTGATGGATTCTGGAAAATTCAGCATGGTATATTCATTACTGTGTGGATTTGGAATATTTCACTGTACCTTCCACTGACATTAATGATTAAAACAATCTTAATTATCTTGCTTGAGTTTAGTTACAGTTTGATAATCCAGTTTGGTTTCATGTTATTTTTTTCTTCTGCTTACAGGGAGCCTTCAGAATTGTGTGATCTGGTATGTTTACCCATTCTCCAATTTTGTTTATTTTCTTTATTTTAAAACATTGTTTTCATCAACATTTACGTAACACTGTACTTGCATTTGCATGTGACATTTCTCTAATCCATGTGCTGTAAGGCTGTTATGCCACGCTATCTAAAGTAATTTGCGGTATGGTGTTAATGAAACTTATGTCATAATTTGATGCCCTACATAGAACCTTGAAAATAAAATGATATCTATGTTCCAAAGGCACAGACCACAGATGTATCACAGGCACATATTTGATATAATGGCGGTAACACAATGACAATTTTTCATTTTTATCTGAAAAATAATCACATGTTCTTCTAATGCTGGATGGATAATCAAGTTTTACATAAAGTAGACCATTCCAAAGTAGAACAATGTCAAAGTTTTAGGGCAAGTCGTTTCTTCAAAATGGTATCTGAAATTTCCTTTATAAGACACAAAGACATTAATTACAAATTTAAAGATGAAGTTAAATAGTACAGTCCTCCTAGAGAAGAAGCACAGTGAACAAGTCATCTCACAGGGCCACTGATTTTGGACACTTGTCAAACCAGAGAGTGCATAACCACAGAGCCAAAGCACCAGAGGAAAGCATCTCAAACTTGGGGTGAAAAATGATTTTAATGTAAGTGATGTTTAGTGTTTTGAATAATAACCATGAAAGGATATTCTATTTATTGAATAATGACTCAATTTGCAATAACACTCTTGAATTACTAATGGAAGTATTAAAATCTATCAGGCATTATAAACTAAATTTTAGGGCATGCATGTCTGTATACGAATAGGTATATATCCATTGAAAATGTCTGCTTATGTTCATTGAAATATATGTACAGGAATGTGTCATAAGAGCATAGTATCACCATAATAGCAAAAAACTCAAAACAACTAAAATGTCCACCAAACTTAGAATGGCATATTCATAAAATGTGATAGTGTGTAAAACTAAAATTAATCTACAGCTACACCTAACACTTGGAAAGTTCTCATACACAAAACATTAATCAAAAAAGGAATCAGATACAAAATAGTGCATTGTTATAAAATTCACAATATCTAAGACTATCCTGTATTACTTAAGGTTAAATCCTTAGGAGGTCATAGCATAAAAAATGATGGTGAGTATTTTCTACTTAATTATATAAAAATGCAGAGGTCAATATACACCATGGAATACCATACAGCCATAAAAAAGAACAAGATCATATGCTTTGCAGGGACATGGGTGGAGCTGAAGGCCATTATGCTTAGCAAACTAACACAGGAACAGAAAACCTAATAGCGCATGTTCTCACTTGTAAGTGGGAGCTACAGGATGAGAACACATGGACACAAAGAGGGGAACAAGACACACTGCACACTTTCTGAGGGAGGAGGGTGAGAGGAGGAAGAGGACCAGGAAAAATAACTAATGGATACTAGGCTTAATACCCAAGTGAAGAAATAATCTATACAACAAACCCCCATGACACAAGTTTGCCTATGTAACAAACTTTCACTTGTACTCCTGAACTTAAAATGAAAGTTTAAAAAAAAAATGCAGAGGTCAGATCACTGGTAATCCTTGTGGCAAGGAAGGGTATTGGTTGGAAAGAAAATAATGAAGAATTTTGAGACTGTGAAGTATTATTTTTCTAGACTTTGTGTCTAGGTGGTATTCACTTTATGCTATATCATTTTGAGCTGAATTCATTTTAGAGAAACTTTTCTAAATTTGTGATATATTTTATATATCTAAAGTTTAAATAATTTTCATATATTTTCAAAAATTTCTTCAGAGCTGAGTATTGGCCTGTACATGATTTGCATTCACAGAGGGAATATGAAAGTGAACGAGCATACTGTACAGAAGAGCTAGATATTAAATTACAATCTCCTTCCCTTTTATGTTGTTTAATTGGTATCCAATATTTTAAATAAACCCGCATGGATATGTGTGTGCATGGATGCTTATATATATATATGAATGGAACAACTCAGTACTTTAACAACTGAACAATTTATAGCTTATTGCAAAACCTGAAATTTAGAACTAGGTGCTACCATTAACTTCATCATGTTATAGTAATTGATGTGACCTAATTTTAAATGGTCAGACAACTATCTCACAAAACTTTCTTAGGAACTAATTTCACATATAAAGAAATCATATTGTCACGATCCCATATTTTTTCAAAATTGAAATGGATCTTAATATAATCTTGACATTTACAATATTTTTACATTTTTTAAATTGTTCTTTTTATTATTTGAAAAAAAGAAGTAGATATGGCTGAGAATAGAAAAAAAAAACTTGGAAAAATAAAGTCAACTTAGTGTCATGTTTCCCATGATAGAGGGTAGGAGAGCAGTGAGTATCACACTGATATTTTATTCCACTTTGACCTTCCACCACTTATCAGTCACATCCATATTTATGTCTGTTTGCTTTGCTTCCTCAGGGGCATCTAATCTCTAAATATGGCTTCCCTATCTCAGCATCTCTTATTGACTTTTTACTAATCTTATTATTTCTGCTGATATTTACTCTGCATGTCATTTTTGCTTTCCCAGCAATATACATTGATGTTCATCCCTG
Source organism: Homo sapiens (assembly GCF_000001405.40). NCBI lineage: Eukaryota > Metazoa > Chordata > Mammalia > Primates > Hominidae > Homo > Homo sapiens. The sequence continues at coordinate 48,916,799 of NC_000006.12, forward strand.
AGGAATGTTTACATTACCAGCCTAAACAAATGAAATTAGAGAAGTAAGGTGGTCAGGCCTAGATCCTCATTGAACAAAAGAGCAAACATCTACTTGGAGGGTAATAGCAAAGAATTTAAACTGGGATCAGCATGTAAAGCCAGTATTGACAACAGTGACTCAAGAGCTGTTTTTGCCATGTTTTGGCATATTTTGATCTTTTAATAAGTTCCCAGGTTAAGCCTTAAGAGAAATCAACAAATAAAAATCTTACTGGGAAATAAAACCAGAAATGTAAGTGCTTTGCTTTGTTTTTAACATTTCAGTGTGGAGGAAAGGCTATAATCTTTGGATTCCAACAAATTTGGAATCAAATTTAAGTTCTTTCATTTAATAGGAGTTTTATCTTAACATTCATAAACCCTAGTGCACTTATCTGGAAAACAGAGAGAGTAATCCTTGAGACCTTATCCTTAGAATTAAATAAGATTTTAGTTGTAAAGTGCCCCGTGCTTTTTTGACATTAACTATTAGTAATCAAGTGTTATTAAATGGCTGTTATTACTTTGCCATTAATGACATTAATTAACTATTATTGCCTCTGCTGCTTAATTGCTTTGACACTCCCACCCTCTGTTGCTGCTCTTACATCATCCCTATTTCCACAACAAGGGAAATCACAGGAGTTTCCATTCTCTTTGTCGTGGTTGTAGAAGAGGTATTGGCTTCCTAAGGCTCTCATATTGAATTGCAAGTTTTAATAGAATGGAGGGAGAGTGAGATACAGAAAAGAAAGGAAGGTGAATTTGGAAGAATAGAGGATGGCAAAAATAAATGATATATAGGTAGATAAATGATAGATCAATATTTATGTTAGATGATAGGTTTATGTTAGATGATAGGTAGATAGATAGATAGATAGATAGATAGATAGATAGATAATAAAAGCTATATGTGTATCTCCTGCTAAGGAAGGCTTATGCCGAAAGTGGTTTTGCTCCTGTATTTGAAGGCCTACAAATCCCCTTATCCATATTTGTATATGAATTCAGAAAATAATTACAAATAAACTTTTTTTGGATTGTTTTATACATTTCTTTATATATGAGTGAGGATTTTAAGAGTATAATATTGTAGCATATTAAAAATATAATATTGATATGCAATAATGTTAAAGTGATACAAAGTGACTTTTAATGAAAAGTAACAGTTTCTTACCATACTTTTCTCTATCTCCAGTTTTATTTCTCTGTTAAACAAGTTTTTATTATTTTAAATATTTCTTCTGATATGTACTTTAGTATGTCTTAATAGCATTTACATCATGTTTTTAGAGTTTTCAATTTTACTAATGTATTGCCTTCTTCCTACAACTATGTAGGGCTTTGGTCACTTATGATGCCATTCTCACCCTCCTTTCATTTTTTTTCCCAAAATAGTCTTATTGTTACTTTGGGGTACGTTATTGATTATGTCTATTCATTATTTTGTAACTCCCAAGTATTTCAGTTCCTAAATTTTCACTCAACTTTCTACCCAAATTCACCTTCTAGAGGATTTCCTAATAAAAGACATGTAAAGAACCCACTATTTCATTCATTACATACACAAAATACCTGTGATTTGCCTTTATTCGTGCATAACAGCAAGACTTACTATGGAATTCTAAGTTACAATCATTTGTCTCCAGAAATTTGAAAAGCTCCTTTAATTGACTCTTAGTTCCGGTTCTTGTTGTTGAAAATCTTGATGACAATGTGGATTTTTTTTTTTTTTTTTTTTTTTTTTTTGAGACAGAATCTCGCTCTGTTGCCCAGGCTGGAGTGCAGTGGCACGATCTCGGCTCACTGCAAGCTCCGCCTCCCAGGTTCACGCCATTCTCCTGCCTCAGTCTCCCGAGTAGCTGGGACTACAGGCGCCCGCCATCACGCCCAGCTAATATTTTTGTATTTCTAGTAGAGACGGGGTTTCACCGTTTTAGCCAGGATGGTCTCGATCTCCTGCCTCGTGATCCACCCGCCTCAGCCTCTCAAAGTGCCCGGATTACAGTTGTGAGCCACCGCGCCCGGCCAATGTGGATTTTTTTTTATGCCTCTGTAGATGTCTTTTATTTTTCCTCTTTGGAACTGTATACAATGTTCCTATTTTCTCATTTTTTCAAAGAAATATATTTAAGGATGTGTTGCCTCCATCCCATTTGCTGAATAATGGTTGGAACTTCACAATAAAAAGACTTAGTAATTTAGCTCTAGAACATTCTTCTGTAATGTTTATAAAATAATGTACCCTCTTCTGTTTTCCACTCTTCATGTTTTTTCTCTTTAAGCAGATTTTAATTAAACATCTTTAATTAGATGTTTAATCCTTAGTGTCTATTCTCTTCCCTATTTTCAATTTCTGCCTTTTTCTTCTGCTTTCTTGGAGATTTCCTCTGCTTTGCTTTTCTACTCTTAGGCATATTTCTTCATTTATTTTCAGAAATGAATTTTTAATTTTGAAAAGCTCTTTAATGTTAACTGATTGATCCCTTTAATTATATTATATTCTTGTTTTATATGTGAGGTAGAATGGAATTTCTTTGTGTAGACCAATTATTTATGTTCTTGAATTTAAAAATGTATTTTATTTCCTTTTTTTCCCTCTTCAAATGTTTGAGGAGCTTTGTTTTATGTTTAATAACAAAGGAACAAAAAAAGGAGTTGTAAGAAATACATACATGGGTGAGGTGTTTTTAACTAACAGATGGTAGAAAAGGAAAGCAGAGCATAACAATTTGGAAAATTTGCAGTCAAGCCTGTGGTAGAGAAAAGGCAGACTGAGTAGCAATCACTTGCTAGAGAGATTAGTATGACTAAAAGGGAGCCAAGTGCTAATATACAGGACAATGGTAAAAAGGCCTTGAAGACATTTCAGTAATCTTTGGGACAGCCCCTCCCATCACAGGTACAGAGGCCTAGGAGGAAAGAGTGCTTTCAGGGGTCAGGTCCAGGGTGCTGCCTCCCTGCTCAGCCTCAGGACACTGCTTCCTACATCCTGGCCACTCTGATTCCAGCTTTGGCTCAAAGGGCCCCAGGTACAGCTTGGGCTGCTGCTTTGAAGAGTGCTGGCTGATACAAGCCTTGATGGTTTCCATGTTGTGTTAAGCCAGCAGGTGCACAGAATGCAAGAGTGAAGGAGGCTTCTCAGCTTTCACTTAGATTTCAGAGTATGAACGGGAAAGCCTGGTTCTCAGGCAGAAGCCTGTTGCAGACACAGAGCTCCTGCAGGCATTCTCTACTAGGGAAGTGTTGAAAACAAATGTGGAGTTGGAGCCCCAAAACAGATTCCCCGCTGGGGCACTGCCTGGTGGAGCTGTGGGAAAGGTGCCACTGCCTCCCAGACCTGAGAATAATAGAGCCAGCATCAGCTTGTATCCTGAGCCTGGAAAAGTCATAGACACTCATCTCCAATTCATAAGAGCAATCATAGGTGCTACAACCTGCTAAGTCACAGGGGTGGAGCTGCTCAACGCCTTAGGAGCCCACCCCTTGCACCACTGTGTCCTAGATGCGGGATATGGAGTCAAAGGAGATTGCTTTGTAGCTTTAAGATTTAATGACTGCCCTGCTGGGTTTCAGACTTGTGTGGGACCCGTTACTCCTTTCTTCGGCCAATTTCCCTCTTTTGAAACGGTAGTGTTTACCCAATGCCTGTACCACCATTGTATCTTGGAAGTAAATAACTCCTTTTTGATTTTATAGGCTCATAACGATACCTTGAGCCTCAGATGAGAATTTGGACTTTGGACATGGGACATTTAATTTGATACTGGAATGAGTTTAGACTTTTGGGGACTATTGGGAAGAGATGATTATATTTTAAAATATGAGAAGAACATGAGATTTAGGGGGATAGGAGTAGAATGACATGGGTTGAATGTGTGTTCCCTCCAAATCTCATGTTAAAATGTGATTCTCAATGTTAGAGGTGAAGCCTACTGTGAGGCAATTGGATCATGGGGGCAGATCCTTCATAATGGCTTAGCACCATCCTCTTGGCGATGAATAAGTTATCACTCAGTTAGTTCACATGAGACCTAGTTGTTTAAAAAGAGCCTGGGATTTCCCCCACTCTCACTCTTGCTCCCTCTCTGGCCATGTGATTCACTGCTGCCTTTTACCTTCTGCCATGACTCTAAGCTTCCTGAGGCCCTAACCAGAAGCAAATGACAGCACCATGCTTCCTATAAATCCTGCAGAACTTTGAACCAGTTAAACCTCTTTTTAAAGTAATTCATAGTGTAAGGTATTCCTTTATAGCAATACAAGAAAAGACTAACACGTGTGTGTGTGTGTGTGTGTGTGTGAGAGAGAGAGAGAGGGAGAGATAGACTATCACCACAACCAAGAAAAAGAACATATTCATCACTCCAAAAACTTTCCCATTGCCCTTTGTAACCCTTTCCTTCCACCATATCCCCAGGCAACCGTAAATTAGTCATCACAAAAGATAAGTTTACATTTTGTAAAATTTTGTATACATGGAAACATACACTCAAACGCTATATATTATTTTTGTGGTTGAAATATTTTGTAATTATGTTGAGTTTCATTTACATTATAGCATGGATCAGTAGTTAACTCTCTTTTATAGTTGAATAATATTTCATCTTTTACCTATTTTTATTCACTTATTGAAAAACTTTTGAGCTGTTTACAGTTTTTAGTTATCACAAATAAAACTGCTACAAACATTTTTGTTTAAGTCTTTGTGTGGAAAAAATCTTTCATTTCTCTTGGGCAGATAGCTAATAGTGGGAGAATGGGATCAGATGGTAGGTATACTTCATACAAAGTTGCCAAAATATTTCCAAAGCGTTAATGTCACTTAACATTTTCACCAACAAGGTTTGAGAATCTCAATTCCTCCATATTTTTGACAATACTTGGTGCATATGTCTTTCTAATTTTGATCATTCTGATAGATGTATAGTGGCATCACTTTGTGGTTTTAACTGGCACGTCCAGACAAAGACATATGTCTTTCTAATTTTGATCATTCTGATAGATGCATAGTGGCATCACTTTGTTGTTTTAGCTGGCATGACCCTAATTACTAATATTTTGATTATGTTTTAGTTTGCATATCTGCCATTGATTTTTATACCTTGGTGAGGTGTCAGTTCAGATATTTTGTGTATTTTTAAAAAGCATATTGTTGTCTTATTACTGAGTATATGAATACAAACATACCTGCACACACACATATAAAGTTTATGTGTGTGTATATGTCAGTATATATCAAATGCCTTATCAGACATAAAATGTACATATATTTTGTCCAGTCTGTGGTTGTCATTTCATGCCCTCAAGAGGGTCATTTGAGGAACAGAATTTTAAAAAATGTTGATGAAATATAATTTATCAAACGGTTCCTTTATTGATCATTCTTTTGGTATTGCGTTGAAAAAATTTTGTTTCAATCAAGGTGACAAAGGTTTTATCCTATGTTTACTTCTAGAAGTTTATACATTTATAACTTACATTTAGGTCTATAATAAATTATGTAGTAATTTTTATTTATGGTGTGAAATGTAAATCTAACTTTTTATTATTAGAAATTGTCATATGGCTATCTAAATAGGCCATCAACATTTAGACCATCTTTTGTCCAAAAAAATAATTTTACACTAGTATTGAAAGCAATTAACCACACATGTACAGGCCTACTTCTCAAATATTTATTTTGTATCATTGATCTGTTTGTATATTTTTATGCTGATATCACACTGTCTTGATTACTGTAATGTTCACTCTCTAATATTGCTCTTTTTCAGAGGCATTTGGCTGCTTTAGTTTCTTTGCACTTTCATATGAATTTTAGAATTGGCTTGTCAGTTTTTATAAAAATACCTGTTGTGATTGTAATTGAGATCACAATGAACCTATTAATCAGTTTAGAAATAAATAATAGCTTGAATATACTGATGTCTTTTAACACAGTATTAGAGCTCTCCTTTGATTGAGAGCTGCTTTGATTTCTTTCATACGTAATTTGTAGTTTTCAGTGCACAGGTTTTTCTCATCATTTGACAAATTTATTTCCAAATAATGTATATTTTGATGCTATTTTAATTGGTATTATCTATGTACTTTAACTTCTGATTACTTGTGTATAGAAACACAATTACTTTTGGTATATTCACCTTGTGTGTGGTAAACTTTGTAAACTCATTTATTATTTGTAGAAGCTTTTACATGATTTAAATTAAATATTTACATAGAGGATTACGTAATCCATGAAGCAAATCAATTTTACTTCTTTCTTTCCAATCCGTATTTTTAAAATAAATTTTCTTTTTCTTGCCTTATTACACTGGCTAAAACCTTCTATACAATATTGAAAGAAGGTGGTGAAAGTAGACATCTTTAATTTGTTCATGATATTCTGGAGAAAGCATTCAGTTTTTCACCATGGTATATGGTATTCCCTGCAGGATTTTCTTTTATGCCCTTTTTTGGGTTGAATAATTTTCATTCTATTCTTCATTTATTAAATGTTTTCTTAATCATTTGAATTTTATCAAGTGCTTTTTTGTATCTATTTATAAACTTATGTTTATTGGGTAGTATGTTGAGTGATATTGATTTGTTTGCATATATAAAAGTAGTCTTTCATTCCTGGAATACACTATACTTGGTCATGGTATCTTAAATTTTATAATTGCTTAAATTTGATTTTCTATAATTGTGTTTAGAAATTTTTAATATGATTATAAAAAATATTGGTCTGCCGTTTTCTTTTCATGCAATCTGTTTTTCTGGTCCTGGTATTTGGATAATGCAGATTATTCCCTAATGATTTGGTGAGTATTTTATTCTTTTAAATACTCTGAAATAGTTTGTGTAGCATTGGTATTATTTATTCATTAAATGTTTCATAGAATTCATTAGTGAAGTACTCTGAACCTGAAGTATTCCTTGTGAGAATTATTTTAAATACAAATTCAATTTATTAAATAGATGTGAGATTACTCCTGATTTCTATTTTTTAGTGAAGTTTGGTAGTTGTTGTATTTAAAGGAATTTATCCATTTCATCTGTTATTAAATTTATCAAAAATTGTTCAGAATATTATTATTATCCTTTCTAAGTTAATTCTCTAAAGTGATGTCATTGTTCTCATTCTTTATACTGTTAATTGTGAATTTCATCTTTTTATCCTGACCAGTTTGTTTATAAGTGTATTACTTTTATTGATAGTCTTAAAAAACTAGGTTTTGGTTACATTGATTTTCTCTACTGTCGTTCTGCTTTCCATTTCATTTTTTTTTTAGTTATTTTATTTTTAAAATAGTCTTTCTAATTTCATTGTATTTTTTGCTATTATTTTTGCAGTTTCTTAAAGTGAAAGCTGAGGTCATTGATTTGAGACGTTTCTTTATTATTAATATATTCATTATTATATATTTCTCTAAGCACTACTTTAGTAGCATCCCATAAATCTTGATTTGTTGTGGTTTTACTTTCATTGAGTTTACAATATTTTCTAATATCCTTCACTTTTCTTATACTCATAGGTTATTTAGGAGCATATTACTTCATTTCCAAGAGCTGGAGAGAATATATTAGGTGTAACTTAAATTCCTTCGAATTTATTAAGACTTGTTTAATGTCACAGAATACAGGCCATATTTGTGAAAATTTCATAGATACTTTAAAAGAGATTTTCTTCTGCTTTGTTGATAGAGTGTTCTATAAGTGTCAATTTTCTCTTGTTGGCTGATAGTGCTATTAAAATCTTTTACACCATATTAATCTTTCTCCTCATTCTAGCAATTATTGAGAAAATAGTGTAAACCAAAAATAAAATCTTAAGCCTCTCCAACCGACTAAATAAACCCTTTCTTCGCCAAGGGATCCCAGAGAAAACCTGAAAAACTGGTGCAGGCCATTATGGAAAGCAAGGTTAGACATGCTTCATTATGCCATCCTCCCTTTGAAGTTTAGGCACAACTGACCTGAATTTATATTAAAATAGAAGTCATAAGACTGTCAAGACAGACTCTTTGTAGTAAAAAGATACCCAACTCCAACCTGACTCAGGTATAACATCAACGACAGAAAGCAGGCCCTGAAGAAAATAAAAATATTTTATCTGAAAATAAATTTTCTTTGATATATTTTGAAATGGTCCTGAAAAGCCATCTCTTGTGAGGGAAATTTGCATTCTGTAGAGATTTTTTGTCACTTACTAGGTCTTTTCTGGAGAATCTGACACCTTTTAAGGTCCAGTGAGAGACATTTATCATCTATTTTATCTAAAGACTGTTACTTAGAGCTTTCATCTACATAATAAGAACCCTGGCTTTCACAATCCCCCTTAATTCAAGCATTTCCTTATGCTGACTTCAACTCTTTAGGCAAAGTTTGCCCCTTTCAATCAATTGCCATTCAGGAAATCTTTCAATCTGTCTATGATCTTGAAGCCCCTACTTCGAGATGCCTCATCCTTCTTGGCTGAACCAATGTTTACCTTTTATGTATTGATATATGTCTTTGCCTGTGACTTCTTTCTCCCTAAAATGTATAAAACAAAGCTGTAATCCAAGCATCTTGAGCACATGTTCTCAGGACCTTCTGAGATTGTGTCAAAAGCCATATTCACACATATTTGGGTCAGAATGAATCTCTTTAAGTATTTTACAGAACTGAGCTTTTTTTGTCAATAAAGATGTTAAGAATTTTTATAATTATTGGTAGATTTGTCAGTTTTTCTCTACAGTTCTTAGAGTTGTTGCTCTGTGTTTTAAATCTTTGCCGTTTTAAGGCATTCTCTTTGTATATTTTATTACTTCACTTTGAATGCCAAGTGAAGTGTATATAAATAACTTATGGCCAAACAAATTTTGCCAAAAAAAATGCAAAACACTTTAAAAAATTTTATTAAAAAATTTAGCATACTGGAGGTTTTGAATATCTACCTAATTTTGGGCAATTTTTAAACTTGTTTAAATAAAAAGTATACAATTACAAATTTTTAATTTGGTTTATGGGACATATTCTCTTACAAGGAAAAAAATTGAGAACATAACATACCTATGTATTTATTTCACAATATTTACCAGCCAAGTTATGCTTCAGTAGTGATTTGGAATGTTTTCCAAATGTATATCCCCCTAGTCTGTGCCCTCTGAATGGTCTCTAACTATTATTTCTACTTCTATTTCTTTGGTGTCATCTATACAGACTCTTGTGGCATGCAAGAAAAAAAAAAACTTTCATGAAGAATTATTTCTGATAAACTTGAATGCTAGAAAAAAAAAATGCCCTCAATGAGCTTAGAGAAACTCATCTTCAACTTATATTACTGTGCTTAACCACATTATCAAACAAATGTATAATAGATAACATTTTCTCAAAAACAAAGATGTAGTAATTTGTCTCATTTGAATTTTTCAAAGTTTAAATGCTATCTGAAAACAGGGTCCCTCTCAAAAAAAAAAAAGTGATTTGATACCAAAAACAAATGCTACAACTCAGAGTGGTGAATACAAATCTCATGTTGATAACTCTAAGCCAATTCTTCAGTGAAACTCAATTCAGAGGTTGAGTCCAGTTAAGAACACAGCAGGGTGGAAGAGATCAGGAGGTGTGGGGTGTGGATGGTCCTTTTTAGTATGACATAGGGAAATGGAAATATTATATTAGTTGATGTGTTTTTATTACTTGGAAAAAGTATCAAACCAGTCTGTTTCAAAAGCTAAACAAATAAAAAGGAAGACATTATTCAGCAGAATATCAGACTATTTATGTGTGTGTGAGTCTGTGTGTTTGTGTGTGTGTGTGCACCCGTGTGTGTATGTATCTATCTAGATTTAGATAGATAGATACTAGATTTTCATTTATGAATATTAACAAGTATACTCAGATTTGAGAATATGAGCCACTTCTCCCTAGAAATATTTTAGGGGCAGAGAAAAATAGGTATCTTTTATTAAGTTCAATATTGTGAAAAAGATATTGTATAACTACCTCAAGCCAGTTCAGTGGAGCTCTGTTGAACTGTCACTGTTAAAATTATAAAAAGTTTACTGAAAGTGAATAGCTAGTGAACTATTTGTGTATGTATAGGTAAATTTGTCGTCTGTTTAGGGTAAATCAAAATCAGGAAGGGCTAGAAGATGGGAATGATTTTAAATGGCTGTTGTGCTAACTGGCTTGATGCTGACTATGGAGCATTGAGTAACCCACCGCAGGAGATGTAGTGGTAGAAAGCCCATGAAGACTAGGATATCTGTAAGTAAGGTGATCAACGTTTTTCTTCATTTAAAGGATAACAAAGAGATGCAGCAGAATTTTGACTACATATTCCATTTCCAATTTAATTTGCCCATCCATAAAACTTTGCCCTGCATACCTAGGAAACCTTATCACTGACCAAGATTCCTTTCTTCCTCATTGCCTTCTGTTTCTATACAACAGTAGCCCAGGTCAACCAAGTACTTATCTTTCTATACATTTAAAGGGCCTGTAAATTTATAATTTAAAAAAAGGAAAGAGGAACCAAAACTTTAGATTCTAATTATAAAAAAGATTTAATATTAACTAGATTTCAGTTTTAAATGTAAATCAAAAGAGGATTAACTATACATCATGTAGGCTATTTGTCATTCACATCTCACTGTGGCTTCATTTAAATCTTGTGTTTCATTTTTGTATGGATACTCTCCTTTTGTACTTGCCCTGCCCCTCCAGCTGAGATAAATAACCTTGAGTAAATGAGTATGTACTAGAGTAGCTGGGGAAATGACTAGGGACAGTATCAATGTCTCAGCATATCAGCAATAAGAGAGCAGGATATTAGCAATAGGCTGTAGAAAACAAGGAGAAAGGCAGCAGAAAGTTGGTGGAAAGGTGATGGCATGGTATGCTGGAAGGAAAACCATAACATAACTAGGTATAAGTTTTTCCAAAATGTTTCCCTAAATTAGTTAGCATTCTTCCCCCAAAATGAAGAACTCTTCAAATTCATATACATCAACTTTTATTGCTCCTCAAATAAATTACACAAATCTATAAAAGTAATTTAAGGACAGATTAAACTTAAGACTCCATACTCCTTTTGACATCTGGAACTAAGTCAGTTTCCTCAAGGGGATAAATGTAACAGCACTGCTATGGGCACAGAATACTAGATCTTCATTTATACATTTTAACAAGTATACTCAGATTTGAAAATATGAGCCACTTCTCTCTAGCAACATTTTAGGGGCAGAGGAAAAAATATACATTTTTTATTAAGTTCAGTATTGTAAAAAAGAAGTTGTGACTACCAAAAGTCAGGTCAGTGAAGCTCTTTTGGACTGTCACTGTTAAAGTTTACTGAAAGTGAATAGATAGGAATTAAGGGAAGAATCTCCATCTGTGCTGAGCAGGTGCAGTGCAAGAGGAATGCAAAAGGGAAAATGTGTAATGATACTTAGACTACAATACAGACAGGTGTAGTATAAAATAGAATCAGAGAAAGCAAGAATCAGAAGGAAAAGGAAAACTATCTAAGGAGTGATCAAACTTCTAGGGAACAAATTCAGCTCCAGGAAAAACTGAGAAAAGCTGTGTGAAATGTTTCTTCTCATTTTATCGGTCATCATTACCAAGTCATATTCCTTAACATAAAATGTGTTTTAAAGAGTAAATATAATTTATAAAATTTTTAAATGTAGAACTTTATAAATTATATATGTATAAGGAATTTAATTTACAGACTTACAGAAAAATACTTTTTTATGTTTAAATATAGTCTTTAATATTTTGTATTTCCTCAGGTGAAATAATGTGCACTTAAGAATCTCTTTGCTATACATCATTTTATATAGATAATTGCTTTTCTTCTTTCCAAATCTCCATTTCAGTAGAGTGGAGTTAGTATAACTGAATCCCATAAACTATTTCAGTTGCAAATGACTTTTTAAGAGGATAGTACTAGGAGAAAAACACTGATTGAAATAACTTTTAACTTTGGAGTTACAAATACCCTGTTAAGGTCTATTGTAGCAATTTTTCTAAACAGGTGCTTGTAACACAGCTGATATAAACCCAATGATAAATTTGAGATTGTTGATGATAACTATAAGCCTGAATGTCAAATTGTGTTAATCTTTATTTATGAAAAATTCTGAGGAGAATATCCCTGGCATTTATTAGATTCCTAAATGTCTATGATAAAAAATTTAAAATGTCTATCATACAGGGCTGGACCTACATGGCCATGCCGCTGAGATTCACCCCACTTATTTTCTGCAGAGTTAACAGGTGGTTAAAAAAAAAAAAAGAGAGACCATGGAAGCTTAGCTCCTATCTAGTGCTGCCCATCCACAAGTGGCTGCGTAAGGAACTTCACCTCCCTGAGTTTCCTTTTCTACATTTGTAAAAGGAGTGCTTTGGGCTGGGAAAACATTTTTAACAGCTCATGTAATTCTAAGGACTATCCATTCTAGATTTTTCTCCTTTTATGTATGAGGGACCCTTAACTCATTAGAATAGGTATTATATTCTTATAAAGCATAAAATTAAAAAGTTACACGGAACAGAAAGATAATTTTAATAGAAATGTTGCTGATTGGTATATTGTATAATAATTTGCAGTCCCAAGTATCTAAATTTTTAAAGATAATGCCAAAATGTTGCAAGCCTATGGGTGCTCAGAATTTCACATCTCATTTAAGAAGGAACTTTTAATGTCCAGAGAGTGTTTGTTTGGTGGCATTAATCCTCTATTCTTAATGTGAATAATTAGAAAGTTAATATGAGCTTTTGGTACTCTTTTCCAAATGGTAAATTAAGGCTACTCTACAATTTTCCCTTTTGGAACCAAATCTCTGGAAATAGTTTTAAAAGTAAATCAATGAGATCATTCAGTATTTGTCTTTCTGTGCCTGGCTTATATCACCTAACATAATGTCCTCCAAGTTCATCCATGTTGTTTCAAATTACAGGATTTTATTCTGTTTCACAGCTGAATAGTATTCCACTGTATATAAGTACACATTTTCTTTATCTATGGGCACTTAGGTTAATTTCGTATCTTGAACATTGTGAATGGCATTTCAATAAACTGGGGAATGCAGATATCATTTTGACATATTTTTTTTCTACCAGTACTGAGATTGCTTAATTATTTGGTAGTTCTATTTTTAATTTTTTGATGAAATTCCATTCTGTTTTCCATAATGGCTGTACTAATTTACATTCCAATCAACAGTGTATGAATTGCCCTTTCTCTATATTCTCAACAGCATTTAACCAACATAGTGCAATTTTGTAAATATAGCAAGTTTTACTCATTATACTCATTTTAAAAATATATTATTTGATTTGCTGAGATTGAGTGTAGATGAGGGTGTGGAAAAAGGATTCTCATATATTGATTTGAGGATAGATTAAAGTTTTAAATTTATATTCTACATATCTAAGCATTTTGAATTCTTTTTCTTCTGTACAGAAATATGTGAACATAATAAGAAAGTATGCACATTTTTACTGAGTCATTTAAATAGAAATTTAGCAACAATTAAATTATCCGTAGGTGCAGCGGTAGATTTTAAAAATATGAAGTATGAATAAATATGAAATATGAATCTTATGGATCACTATTTATCAGAAATGTATCTATGTAAAATAACTTTGCAAGATTTCCAGCACATATTGTTGAGTAAAAAAAAAAAACAAATTAGACCGTTATGTATAATGTAATAAAATTTAGGTACACCAGTAACAAAATAAGCTGGGGCTATACACACAAAGACAGTTTGAAAGACACAAAGAGAGTTTGAACAGAAGATAGTGGTTACTCAGGAGAAAGGAAGAAGAGAAGTTTGAGAAGTAGTTAAAAGGAGAACTTTCACCTTATAAATAGTAGTTAAATGGGTGTCTAGTAGGAATGGAATCAATAATTTAGAAAACATTTTTAATTACAAGCTTAATTGAAAGATAAAATTTCAAATCATCCAAATTAGAATATAAACTTTATATTTATTCTAATTATGTAAAATTAAACTAAAAACTAAATTAAATGAGCTATAATAAATTACATTAAATACATTTAAATATATATGGTTTTTCTTGCTATAGTTTATATTTATCTTTTATATCTTAATTTTAATTTTTCTGGGTGCATAGCAGGTATATATATATATTTATGGGTTATATGAGAGAGATTTTTATACAGGCATGCAATGCATAATAATTACATCAGGGTAAATGAGGTATCCATCACCTCAAACATTTATCTTTTGTGTTACAAACAATCCACTTATATATTTTTAGTTATTTTAAAATGTACAATTAAATTATATATTACTATAATTACCCTGTTGTGATAGCAAAGACTAGGCCTTATTCATTGTTTATAACTGTTTTTTGTACCAATTAACCCTCTTCATTTCCCTCCCTCACAATACTCTTCCAAGTCTCTGGTAACCATCATACTCTCTAGCTCCATGAGTTCAATTGTTTTAATTTCTAGCTCCCACAAATATGTGAGAATATGCAAAGTTTGTCTTTTGTGCCTGACTTCTTTCACTTAACATAGTGACCTCCAGTTCCCTCCATGTTGTTACAATTGACAGGATCTCATTTTTTTCTACGGCTAAATAGTACTCCATTATGTATATGTACCACATTTTCTTTATCTAATCATCTGTTGATTGCTTCACTTAGATTGCTTCAAAATCTTGACTGTTGTGAATAGTGCTGCAACAAACATGGGAGTGCAGATATTTCTTTGACATGCTGATATTCTTTCTTTTGGGTATATACTTAGGAGTGGAATTGCTCGATTGTAAGGCAGCTCTATTTTTAGTTTTTTGAGGTGCCTCCAAAGTGTTCTCCATACTGGTTGAATACTAATTTAAATTCCCATCAACATTATACACATTCTCACCAGCATTTGTTATTGCATGACATTTGGATATGAACCATTTTAACTGGGATGAGATGATATCTAATTGTATTTTTGATTTACATTTATCTGATAATCGATGTTGAGTATCTTTTCATATATCTGTTTGGCATTTTTATGTCTTTGTTAGAGAAGTATCTATTCAATATTTTGCTCACTTTCAAGTTGGATTATTAGATTTTTTCCTACTTAGTTGTTTGAGCTCCTTTTATATTCTGGTTATCAATCCCTTGTCACAAGGATGGTCTTTAAATATTTTTCTCCCATTCTAGGTGTTACCTCTTCACTTTGCTGATTGCTTCCTTTGCTGTTCAGAAGTTTTTAACTTGATGTCATCACATTTGTCCATTTATGCTGTGGTTGCCTATGCTTGTGAGTTTTTACTCAAAAAATCTTTGCTCACTTGTCAATGTCCTGGAGAGTTTCCCCAGAGTTTTCTTTTAGCAGTTTAATCATTTCAGGTCTTGATTTAATTATTTAATTCATTTTGATTTAATTTTTGTATAAGCTGAGAAATAGGAATATAATTTTTTTCTTCTGCATATGGATATCTAGTTTTCCCAGCACCATTTATTGAAGACACTGTCTTTTCCCCACTGTCAAAACTGAGTTCACTGTAGGTGTGTGGTTCTCTATCCATTTCCATTGGTCTATGGGTCTGTTTTTATGCAAGTAACATGGTGTTTTGATTACTATAGCTCTGTAGTGTAATTTTAAGTCAGATAATGTGATTCCCCCAAGTTTTGTTCTTGTTGCTTAGGATAGTTATGGTTATTCTGGATCTTTTGTGGTTCCATATACATTTTAGGATTGTGTTTTCTATTTCTCTGAAGCATGTCATTGATATTTTGATAAGAATTGCATTGAATTTGTAGATTACTTTAGGTAGTATGGACATTTTGAAAATATCGATTCTTTCAATTCATAAACATGGAATACCTTTTGTTTTTTGTTTCCTCTTTAATTTCTCACGTAATTGTTTTACAGTTTTCCTTGTAGAGAACTTTCACTTCTTTGGTTAAGTTTATTCCTAGGTATTTTATTTTATTTGTAGCTAATGTAAATGGGATTACTTTCTTGATTCTTTTCCCAGATTGTTCGACATTGGCATATAGACATGCTACTCATTTTAATATGTTAATTTTGTATCCTGCAACTTTACTGAATTTGTCTACCAGTTTTAATAGTTTTTTGAGGGAGCCTTCAGCTTTTTCCCAATATAAGATGATACCACCTGCAAACAAGGATAGTTTAACTTCTGTTCCAATTTGAATGCTCTTTATTTCTTTCTCTTTTGTGATTGCTGTAGCTAGTATTTTCAGTACTATGTTGAGTAACAGTGGTGAAAGTCACCATCCTTGTTGTGTTCCCCATCTAAAAAGAAAGGCCTTCAGTTTTTCCCCATTCATTATAATACTAGCTGTGACTCTCTCATATATAGCTTTTATTAGGTTGCATTATGTTCCTTCTATACCCAATTTATTGAGGATTTTTATCATGAGGGGATGGTGAATGTTATCAGATGCTTATTCAGCATCAATTGAAATGATTATATGTTTTTGTCCTTTATTCTGTTGATATGATGTATCACATTACTTTATTTGCATATGTTGACTCATCCTTTTGTCACTGGCATAAAACCCACTTGGTCATGATGAGTGATCTTTTTAAAGTATTGTTCAATTAGTTTGATAGTATTTTATTGGGAATATTTTTTATCAGTATTCATCATTGATATTGTCCCATAGTTTTCTTTTTTTTTTTTGATATGTCTTTGGTTTTGATATCAAGTGACACCACCTTCATAGAAATGAGTTTGCAAGTATTCCTCCCTCTTTTATTTTTCAAAATAGTTTGAGTAGGATTGGTATTAGTTATTCTGAAAATGCTTGGTAAAATTCATCTGTGAAGCCATCAGGTCTGCGTTTTTTGTTTGTGTGTGGTTTGGTATTTATTTATTTATTTATTTATTTATTTTGGATGCTTTTTATAATGCCTTCAATCTTGTTACTTGTTATTATTCTGTTCAGGTTTCAAATTTCTTCATGGTTCAATCTTTGTAGGTTGTATATGTTTAGGAAATTGTCTTTTCTTTTAGATTTTCCAATTTATTAGCATATAATTGCTCACAGTAGCCACTAATTATCCTTTGAATTTCTGTGGTATCTGTTGTAATGTTTCTTTTTTCAGCTTAGATTTATTTGGGTCTTTAGAGTTTAATTTATTTATTTTCAATTTTAATATTGATAAGTAAGGACTTACTGCTGCCATTTTGTTACTTGTTTTCTGGTTATTTTGTTGTTTTTCCTTACTCCTTTCCTTCCTTCCTATCTTTCTTTTACTGAAGATTATTTTCTCTAGTGTTATGAGTTAAATTCTTCCTTTCTGTGTGTATTTTAGATTTGATGTTGTGTGTTTTAGATTTTATATTACTATAAGGCTTGGAAAAGCTATCTCATAGCCCATTATTTTATACTGATAACAACTTAACACTGCATAAACAAATAAAAAAGCACAAAGAAAACTAATAAAAACTGTAAATTTTAACTTCATTAACCCACTCTTTAACTTTTTATTGTTTCAATTTATATATTGTACTCTTTGTCTTGAAATGTTGTAATTATTTTTTATTAATTCATCTTTCAGTCTTTCTACTTAAGCTAAGAGTATTTTACACACCACAGTGACAGTGTTATAATATTCTTTGTTTTTCTGTGTACTTACTATTGCCAGTGAGTTTTCTAACTTTAGATGATTTCTTATTGCTCATTAGTATCCTTTTCTTCTGATCAAAGTCATCCCTTTAGCATTTCCTATAGGAAAGTCTGGTGTTGATGAAATCCTTCAGCTTTTTTTGTCTGGGAAAGTCTTTATTTCTCCTTCATATTGAAGGACATTTTTGCTGAATGTACTATTCTAGGGTAAATTATATTCTTCAGCATTTTAAATATGTCATGCCACTCTCTCCTGGCCTGTAAGGTTTCCACTGAAAAGTCTGCTGCCAAATGTACTGGAGCTCCATTGTATGTTATTTGTTTCTTCTCTCTTGCTGCTTTTAGGATCTTTTCTTTTCACTTGTCCTTTTGGAGTTTCATCATTAAATGGTAGGCTTCTTTGAATTAAATCTGCTTGGTGTTTTATAACCTTCTTATACTTGAATATTAACATCTAGGTTTGGAAAATTTTTTGTTATAGTCCCTTTTAATGAACTTTCTACCCCTATCTCTTTCTCAACCTCCTGCTTAAGGCCAATAACTCAGATTTACCCTTTTGAGTCGATTCATTGTTTTTTCTTTTTAATTCTTTTTTACTTTTATCTTCTTTGTGTATTTTCAAATAGGCTGTCATCAAGCTAAGTAATTCTTTCTTCTGTTTGATCAATTCTATTAAAAGACTCTGATACATTTTTCAGTATGCCAATTGTATTTTTCAGCTTCAGAATTTTGCTTGATTCTTTTTAATCATTTCAGTTTTTTTGGTTAAGTTTATCTGATAGAATTTTGAATTTCTTCTCTGTGTTATCTTGCATTTCTTTGAGTTTTCTCAGCACAGGTATTTTGAATTATCTGTCTGAAAGGTAACATATCTCTGTTTATCCAGGGTTGGTCCCTGGTGTTTTAGGTAGTTTATTTGACGAGGTCCTGTTTTCCTGGATGGTCTTTATGCTTCTGGATGTTCATCTGTGACTGGGTATTGAAGAGTTGGGTATTTATTGTAGTCTTTGCAGTCTGGGATTTTTCGTACCTGTCCCTTTTGGGAAGGCTTTCTAGGTATTCTAAAAGCCTTAAGTGTTGTGATCTAACCTGTAGTTGCATTATGGCCATTCCAGCCCAATAATGCTGTGGTCCTTGCACACTCATAGAAGTACTTCTTTGATGCTCTTAGGAAAGATCTGGAAGAATTCTCTGGATTACCAAGCAGAGACTCTTGTTCTTTTCCCTTGCTTTCTCTTAAACAAACAGAATCTCTATATCTCTGTTCTGAACCTCCTCGAGCTAGAGGTGGGTTGACACAAGCACCCCTGTGACCAACATCAATATGACTGTGCTGGGTAAAACCTGAAGCCAGCACAACTCTGGGTCTTGCCTAAGGCTTGCTGTAATCACTACCTGGCTATGTTCACTGAAGGCCCTGGAGCTCTACAACCAGTAGGTGGTGAATCCAGGCAGGTTTGTGTACTTCCATTTAGGGTAGTGGGTACCCCAGGTCCCCAGCATGTCCAGAAGAGGCATCCAGTAGCCAGGGACTGGAGTCAAAAATCTTAGAAGTCTTCCTGGTGTTCCATTGAACAGTGGCTAAGCTGGCACTTGAACCATGTGACACAATTTTTCCCACTCTTCCCTTTCCTTTCCCCAGGCAGGGGAGCTCACCTACGGCCACCATCACCACAGGCCCATGGGGAGTATTTTCAGGCTACTGCTGATATTCCCTCAAGGCCCAAGTGCTAGTCTGTCAGCTTGTGGTAAATTCTGCCAGGCCTGGGACACACCCTTAGGGGAGTGGGCTCCTCTCTGGCCCATGGCATGTCCAGAAATGTTATCCAAGAGCCAAGGCCTGGAAATGAGGACCCCAAGAGCCTGCTTGGTTCTCTACTCCTCCTCTGTAGCCAAGTTAGTACTTAATGTGCATGACAACATCCCCTTTACTTTCCCCTCTGCTTTTCTCAAGCAGAAGGGGTCTCTCCTTGTAGCCACCACAGCTGGGAATGTGCTGAGTCTCTCCTGAAGCCAGCAAGTCTCAGTCTCACCCAAGGCCCATGGTATATTACCTGGATATCACTGTTGATTATTCATGGCCCAAGGGCTCTTTAGTCAGCAAGTTATGAATCTTGCCAGGACTGGCTCCTTCCCCTCAAAGCAGCAGTTTCCCTTTTGGTCCATGGTGGACCTAGAAATGTTGTACAGCAGCTAGGTTTTGGAAAGGGGGCTTCATGACTTTGACTGGTGCCCTATCCTAGTGTGGCTAAGCTGGTATCCAAGATGCAAGACAAAGTTGTCTTTACTCTTCCCTCTCCTCCCTCTAGTAAAGAGGAGGGGTGTCTTTTGGAGCTGCGAGCTGTGCAGCCCAAGGCTGGGGGAAGGCTGGTGCAAGCATTCCCTTAGCTGCCTTGGCTGGCTTGTGTTTCAGTAGGCCATGTGGCCCCCAGGTCTACTAGCTCTGAGCCCAGTTCAGCAGTGGGATACACCTAGGAGTTGCAGTCTTTGTGACCTAGACTGCCTCTCAAGTTTATTCAGAGCCCTACAGCCCATTAGCCAACATTTGTGAATCTTGCCGGAGCTCAAGTTCCAACCCCTGGGATAAGCAATTTCCCTCTACCTAAGGCTGGCTTAAATACTTACTCCATGGGTGCACATCAGCTGAGCTCAGCCTGGTTTTGCTTTCTACTATGACGGGGCATTACTGAGTTTAATGCAATATCACAATTGCTGTGTATTCCCTCTCCCAAGTGTACAGTTGTTCTCTCCCTGACCTGTGGCCACTTCTGGGGGATGGCAGAGAGTGCCCAGTGCCCAGAGATGCTTTTCACACAATGGCATTGCTGCCAGGGGATGGAGTAAGGATGGTATAGGTGATTCAAGACTGTTTTTTCTATGTCTTCAGTGCCTCTTTCAGTGATATGAAGTTAAAATTAGGTACTGTTAATGCTAACTTAATGTTTTCTTCTTATAAGACTGATTTTTTGGTGTAGATAGATATTAAATTTGTGTCCTTGTGGGAGAGATACATGAGTTTTTGAATTTTGAATTTATTTTAAATTTCATGAGAATTCTTCTCACATTGCAATTTAAGGTCTATTTAAAGAGATCACAGGGAGTCCATATAACCATAAGACATTGGGTAGACACAATTGGCATTGGTAACACAAGAATAAATGTTAAATTTAAATATAAAATTTAAAATTTACCTCAAAATATTAAAAATTATAAATTTAAAATAAAATATGCTCAACTTGTTAATTTTAAATTTAAGTTTAAAAAGCTGAAAAAGTAATCTTATTTAATTTGACATTTAAGGATAGTGGATAGAGTTGTGTATATAACATCCCTTTTTCTGGTTAATTATTCTGACATATCCACAAGGAAGAAAATATCAGACATTTAAAGTGCATCACTTGAAAAAATATATTCCTGAGGTTTTTATTATCATAAACGTTAGAAAAAAACTCATTATTCTAGAGAAAAATAATTACTAATTGTACTAATAATTAATTACTAATTAATTGTATTAATTTGTACTGTCTCTGCTGGAATAGGATAACTGAAAACATGCACCTAATTTTTCCTTCACTGTGCCCTGTTTGCCTTTTCCCTTTGCTGATTTTAATCTGTATTCTTTTGCAGTAATAAGCCACAATAGTAATTTTAATAACTTTTTCTGATTTCCCTCAATCATTCTTATGAGTCATCAATCCATAAATGGTCTTCAGGACTTGATATAGGAGGGGATCATAGCACCATTGACACAAGGAAGAAAAAAAGTTGTAGGCATAAAGAAGGATTGCTTCCAGGACCCCCACCAATATCAAAGTCCCTGGATACTCAAATCCCTTGTATAAAATGGCATCATCTTTGCATATAACCTATGCATATCCTCTTGTATTCATTGAATCATCCCTAGTTTACCTATAGTACCTAATATAATGTAAATGCTATGTTATGTATATTGTTTTTTATTTGTATTAATTTTATAGTTGTTAGGTTTTTTTTTAACATTTTTGATCCAGTTGGTTGAGTCTGTGAATGTGAAACCCATGGATATGGTGGGTCAACTCCAATCACAAATGGCACACTTTAGAGGGTACTCTTAGAATAAAAAAAAATTTAATAGGTGAGTTCTATAAAAATACATAATCTCTACCTTTTTGGCCTAATTAATATGAACTTTACTTTTTAAAATGAAAATTTACATACAATAATATAGATAAATCTCAAATAGAGCATACTAAATAAAAGAAGCCAGCCAGAAACAAAAACAAAAACCAAAAAACCTCTATTGTGTATGTTTCCATTTATATGACATTCTTGAAAAGTTAAAACCATAGGGACAGAAAGCAGATTGGAGATTGTCTAGTGTTTGGTCTTGAGGTGGACATTTGGAAAATTTTGGACATATTGTAACTGTTTTATATTTTAACTGAGCAGTGGATTCATAACTGTAAACTGTAAAAACTCACAAAACTGTACACTAAAAACTATAAATTATCTGTGTATGAATTAATTCTTAATATCTTAAAAATTAAAAAAATCAGAGATTAAAAAGGTGAGAGTTCACTCAGTTTATTTCAACAAATATTTATTTACTACCTTCCATTGTGCCAGGTGCTGGTGATATGGTGGTGACAAAGGATGAAAAGCACTACTCTCAGTAACCTGAAAGTGGACTGATGAAGAGATCGTGTGACAGCAACCAGTTGAAATCATCAGGCCTTTAATGAAAATCTACATTGCAAAATGTCTGAGGAGATGAAAGAAAAGGAAAGGGGAAGTCAGATTAGTCATGAAAACTCACGCCATTTATCAATACAATTCAAAGTCCAGAAAATACCACTACTCATTAAAGAAACAAATATTTAGGGAAGAGACACCACTAGCAAAATCGAGGTATAATTTTAGTATTTATGTAATATATAGGTATTATATAGAAAAGTATTAATTTTAAAGAAGTACTTTTTATCAGAATATTAATGTTAATAAAAATGATGGTGTATCAATTCAGTTTTCAAAGATAGATGGTCACCTTTCTATGAGAATAAATAGCTACTGTTTCAAGTTCTGTGATCTAGGAATCAAGGTTATAATGTTAGTTGTTTTACAATGAAAGTTATAGTATCCACTGTAAAGACAGGGATTTTTTTATGTGAACAAGATTATAAAATGGAAATAGATACATATATATCCAAGCTTTGGTCTCCATTACATAAACTGAAATCTATAAAATAAATTTAAAACTCAACTTGAAATATACATATGGTGAATAAAAACATTATATTGCTAGAAAGATTTGAGTCACTCTGTTTCTATAGTGTTTCTAAGCAATTTACTTTTTCTCTTATAGACACACATTTTATATATCTGAGAAGCTCTTGTCTTCCAATATGCCTCAGTAATTTTCCGCTATAGCTAGCTGTCATGAAAAGATTTTTGATGCTAAAAGAAAGTTACTGATTTGTCTTATTGCTGAATCAGATTTATGTTAGAGTCATCTTTTCCTCTCAAGTTTCTGATACTCAAATCTTCAATTTATTTTAAACTTCATGAGGATTCTTCTCACATTGCAATTTAAGGCCTATTTGAAGAGATCACAGGGAGTCCATATAACCATAAGACATTGAGTAGACACAATAGGCATTTGTAACACAGAGAATAAAGCATTTATATATTTAGTATTTACCCTAAGAGGAATATAAGAATAATCATTGTATAGCTTTAACGATATAATTGGTACAGGCCTCTGTTTTGTGTAATTTAGGCATAAGTAATGACATGACAATTATTGAAAGATATCAGGATTGATATTACCTCTATAAATTTTATATATATATATTTTTTCAATGACTAGTTCTTATCTTTTTATCTCCTGTTCGCTATTTCAGAGACACATGTAATAATAACTCACAGATTTAAGATTACACACAATTATTCTAGTATTAGTTTTATCATTATTTTATTTTGTATTTTCAGCCAAGTAACTTAAATTCTCTGGCTTTTTGTTTCCTTCACTGTAAATTGTAAAAACTGAGTTAGATGATTTCTCAGTTTGCCCTCTTTATTAATTTGAGTTTTCTTAAAAGTGGAGCTTGACACAAGTGTATATATGTCAGTAGTTTTGGAAGATGTCATTCATAGAGTAGGAATGAGGAGCAGGAAGAGTGAGAGTAGAAAAGTCTAATTAAAGTGTATAATCAAGGTTGCAGCTCTACCAACCCCATGGAAGCTGTGAGTAGTATATGAAATGCCTCCAAGAAATACTTGGGCAATGAACAGTCACACTGGCTCTCATCCTCTGTAGGGTGAGAATTATCCCTGAGGAAGATAACTCTCCCAACACTTCTGGGCTGCTTCTGTGCTTGGGTAGGAGCTGAGCAGGAACTCATGACTTCAGGGAAATCCCTTAGGGAAGAGAGCAGAGTCATACAAAATGGATGGCTTCCATAGGACTCTTACTGGGCACAGAAAGGAACCCTTGACAACAGCAGGGCTAATATCGATTTCAAGAGACTGGGATTGTGGCACCATGAGTATCCAATACTCTTTCAGAGGTAAAGATCACTATGATTCTTTAGGTTAAGGATGATATTTCCTAAATTGAATTGAACATATATATAGTCCTGTGGAAAAAAAAAAGAGTGGGTAACAGGAACCAATAAAAATTATCATGATCCTCATGGTATCTGTAAATAGGGAATGATGCAGTATTGAGTAATTTGTTCATATTCCTTAATAATTTCTGAGAAGAAAGAGATATTTTAATGAATTACTTAACTGTAATTGATAAAACTGTATATATTATCATGTATAACATGATGTTTTGAAATACATATGCCTCATGGAATGGCTGAACTGAGCTAATTAACATATGCATTACCTCAAATCCGCATCATTTTTTAATGGCGAGAACATTTCAAAACCATTCTCTTAAGAATTTTCAAGAATACAATACATTGCTGTTAATTATCATCAACATGTTGCACAATAGATCTCTCAAATGTATTGCTCCTATCTTACTGAAATTTTGTATTCCCCTATTTACCCCAGCCAAACCCTAGTACCACTATCTTACTCTATGCTTCTACCTAGTACGTATATTGTAAATAGCATGGTAGTTTGAATTCTGAGATAGAAAAAGGTAACTTAACAAATAATGTCACTCTGATGAAAGATTCTTTAAGAACATCCAGTTATTAATGGAGAAGTTCTATCTCAGTAAGGTGCTTTCTAATTAGTGATATAACTTCCTAATGCCAAGGTATTGGAAAAGGGACATCTCTGTAAGTATTTAGCGATATTTCCCATTATAAATAATAAATGGATTTGCTGATACATAAATCACTCTTTTTAGTTTAGTTATTGTAAATCAACCCATAGTGAGATATAACACTTGGATGAGGAAAGAAAAATTGAGTTTTAAAATATTCAGGCCTTAGAATTAAACCCTGCATAATGATGCCATAAGATACAGAACATGTATAGAGTTTAGTCTGGAGAGGAAGGATTATACCCACTCATATAAGCAAACACACTCATATAAGCACACACACTCATATAAGCACATGCACACACACACACATAAGCACATGCATATACACACACATGTTAAACCAAGCATCATCACATTATTAACTTTCAACTATGTTCATCTGAACCTAGAATATGTGTGGAAATGTTTAATGACTGCCACAGGAGATACAGGTGAGGCTCCCAAATGATTTCTTTGTCCTCGTCTATAAAGATATGAAGAAATACAAACCAAAATAGCAACCATAATAAGTTAATGGCTATAACATGTTAATATGTCACATAAAGCTTGCATCTAAAGACTGCTTTCAGTATATCAAATGAAAGAAATGGCTTATGAAGGTATTGGAAATGAGATCATCAGGAAAAGAGTGTGGGAAGGGGCTTTCCCATCACTCTTGTTTACGACCCAACTTAATAAACACACAGTATACTACTTTCTGCTATTCTTTTCCCTATGTTTCCCAATTATTTTGATAACATGCTTTACTACTGTGGCCAGTTTTTCTCCTGACTCTTTCACATAAATAAAGTGTCCATATTTCTGAAAAATTTTGTTTATTCTGGGCTGAGCCAACCTTAATCTTTACCTGATTGCATACCTGATTGTGTCCTTTTTAGCTTCAGATATTTTCTAACAGTTGATAGCAGTGGGAACTTCAGGTAGAAATGGGGGATAAAAACAAGAATGTGGTAGAAAATAAACAAAAAGAAAAAAAAGAGGTAGAGATAAGGACTTATTCAAGCAATTCGTATTATGTAGCATATTTTAGAGGTTTAGTCCATGGTGAGCTAGGAATGTAATATAAATATGATACTATTTAAATACATTTTATAAGAAGAACCTAGAAGATTCAGATAAGATCATGCATCTGGAAGAATTGGTAACTCATTATATTTCATAAAATTTATTCTATATTATTGATAAGTGAGTGTGGTATTCTATGTTAAACTATTTCTAATGAGCTATACAATATTATTCAAGGTAAACACCATGTGTGGTAGTTTGAATGTAAAACCAGAAAACAATTTAAAAACCAGTACTTAATGTGCATTGGGTCACAAAGGGGTAGCTACAAAATCATGTGACATGTTATAAGAAGCACACCAGAACTTATACATTTAATCAGGTGTTACATGTGACAGTAGTGTCATTGTTAGTGGCTACTTCATTTATTCTATTTAGACCAAGTTTTCCCTGGAACTGTTCCATTTGACTGACTCCTGGAGGTAAAGAATCACACAAAAACTGTAATCTCATTATTTGGAGAGTTGTCTTATTTTTTGTTTTATTTTCGTGATTTATCTAGCATGCTCTTCACCAGTCTTGAGTCCAGTGAGTTTTAACTGTTTCCAAATATCAGTTCTACCTCTTGATTTCTGCCCCCCAAAAATATTGCCATTTTCCAATATTTAAAACTATGCTAATACTTCTCTGAAGTTTTCTGCAATAAAGCTCAAAAATATACTGGGCACTGTTAGAATAACTTTATAGACACATGCAGTGAATATGGAAAATAAAGCATCACCCGCATTTTCATTACATTTATACATTAGGAAAAACAGTTATCATTCAAGACATCATGCTTGGCACTGAGAGATTCCAGGAGATAATTCTGAAAGTCATATTTCAACAATGCCAGGCTAAAAGTGCTAGAACGACTTGGCAACTCTAATAGTTAAATGTATGATAAAAATTATTACAACTGAAAACAATTTATGCTAAATTGCCATGTTTGAAAATGACAGAAATTTTGGCAGTAGCTATAATTCAGAATGTACCCATAATTTTCTACCATTGTAGTTTTCTTTACCCAAGCAAATGAAAAAGGTTAATTTTTTGCACTTCAAAATCTACAAAATATTTTAGGTATCAACTGCTAGACTGTTATGGCTCTTCTTATACTGATATATTTGTATTTTGTAGTATGCTGGGCACAAATAAAAGACTGTACAGGAAAAATGGTAAGTAATTTAGCATTTGTTTTCTTATATTCCAAATACTCTTACATAAGTCTCTTTAAATGAAGACAATTAAAAAGCATGGGCAAGGACTTCATGTCTAAAACACCAAAAGCAATGGCAACAAAAGCCAAAGTTGACAAATGGGATCTAATTAAACTAAGGAGCTTCTGCACCACAAAAGAAACTACCATCAGAGTGAACAGGCAACCTATAGAATGGGAGAAAATTTTTGCAACCTACTCATCTGACAAAGGGCTAATATCCAGAATCTACAATGAACTCAAACAAATTTACAAGAAAAAAACAAACAACCCTATCCAAAAGTGGGCAAAGGATATGAACAGACACTTCTCAAAAGAAGACATTTATGCAGCCAACAGACACATGAAAAAATGCTCATCATCATTGGCCATCAGAGAAACTTAAATCAAAACCACAAACCACAATGAGATACCATCTCACACCAGTTAGAATGGCGATCATTAAAATGTCAGGAAACAACAGGTGCTGGAGAGGATGTGGAGAAATAGGAAATGCATTTTACACTGTTGGTGGGACTGTAAACTAGTTCAACCAACAGTCTCACTAGTTGGTGGGACTGTAAACTAGTTAGTGTGGCGATTCCTCAGGGATCTAGAACTAGAAATACCATTTGACTCAGCCATCCCATTACTGGGTATATACCCAGAGGATTATAAATCATGCTGCTATAAAGACACATACACACGTATGTTTACTGCGGCACTATTCACAATAGCAAAGACTTGGAACCAACCCAAATGTCCAACAATGATAGACTGGATTAAGAAAATGTGGCACATATACACCATGGAATACTATGCAGCCATAAAAAATGATGAGTTCATGTCCTTTGTAGGGACATGGATGAAGCTGGAAACCATCATTCTCAGCAAACTATCGCAAGGACAAAAAACCAAACACCACATGTTCTCACTCATAGGTGGGAATTGAACAATGAGAACACATGGACGCAGGAAGGGGAACATCACACACTGGGGCCTGTTGTGGGGTGGGGGTAGGGGGGAGGGATAGCATTAGGAGATATACCTAATGTTAAATGACGAGTTAATGGGTGCAGCACACCAACATGGCACATGTATACATATGTAACAAACTGGCACGTTGTGCACATGTACCCTAAAACTTAAAGTATAATAATAATAAAATTTTTAAAAAAAGTAAGGACCTTAGGCTTTAGGTCTGAGACATAAATGAGTAATCAATGTTATGTATGTAAAGAACTAAATTCAGGCACATAAGAGTACATAATTTTATCTTAGTCTCAAATTCATAATGTACTTGAGAATGGACATAAAATGATTACATTTTAAAATAATGTGTAACCGTTGCCAAGGGGGTGTTCACTTAATTTTGCCTGCTGGAAATACCACAGGCTTCTTTGAAATTAAAAAAGAAGGGCTGTAGATGAGGACTTAGAAGTTCAGTGGTTAAATAATTTGTCTAAAGTTGCACTTCAAGGGTAACAAGGGCAGTTTTGAGTTCTTAAATTTATTTTGTAAGGTCTGTTCTTTTGTTATATAATAATGTTTTCTTCTCCCAGGCTGCTCTTCTAAAGGTGTCTGTCATATCCATTCTTCACGCAAACGCCAACATCATGCATGCAGTTATGTTTCTTCCACTTGGATGTTGCCTTCCCTTTTTGCTCATAAAGTTCTACTTTATAAAATTCCAGTCATTCCACCTCTACTAATCATTACTTTCCCTGAACCACTAATGAACTTTGGAGCTATACAAAACTGATTAGCACCTAAGTACTTTTTTATTAAACTGTGTGATAGTTTTATATCTCTAAATAGGTTAGGTTGTAAACTCAACCTCTAAGCCCCTGGGACACATATATGTAAAATGCAGAATATGTATTGGCAGCACTGTGAACAACTGCTTATTTAATTGTCTCAGTGATTCATTTAGTTATTCATGCAATCATTTCATGCATCTTGGTGATTATTCCAAATTCATATTATTTGTATGTTAAAGATTATACAGAATTTCTCATTCTGGTTATAAGAAGAAAATGGGACTAAAGTTACTCTCTCACATTACACTAGAAAAACAGAGAAATATATATATAAAGCAATAGGTTATTTTTGTTTGTTTGTTTGTTTGTTTTACATATTGGACAATAAGCAGTATACAACTATTACCTCTGAGAACAAAGACATAAGGACAATCACATGTTTGCCTCTATCTTACTGCCTGGAGGCAGTGTCCAGACTAAAAAAAGGGAAGGGAAACCCAGAGTCAGGCACTCTTGCTAAATTAAGGAGATAGAGATTGAATTTCAGGGAGGTCAGTGTGCCTAGAATTTGTGGGGCAGAATCTCAGAGGGAAGGAAACCGCAAAGAGAAGGATCTCCAGACGTCCTTAGAGGCTTCCCCTTGAGTATTTTTTGATTATCAATTTATATGTGAATACTATAGTAAGCAGTAAGCAAACAGTTCCTTAAGTTCTCAAAGGGATGGGAACAGTTATGTTTGCAACAGCAAGAGTAGAAAGACTTCCTCACATATAGAGCATTGGGTAGAGCCGAAAAATGGTATTGCCTTAGTAGTGGGGTTAAATTAGCCATATACTAAAAGCTGCTCTAAACCTGTCCTAGCTAATTTTAAAAGCAAGTCTAGAAAGAATCAAATTGATTCCAATACTTAACTACTTCTCAGATAAAATGCAATAATTTTCCAAGAAAAGAACAACAACTACAACAGCAACAAAAAGAGGACCCAACAAAGAAGAATTCGCAGTTCTCAGCAAGAAAAAAAGGTATCAGCCTTGCAAGGAAACAGGAATGGATGAATGGATGAACCACAACCTGAAGGAAAATCAACCAACAGAAAAGACACAAAAATTACAGAGTTGATCTTGTTAGTAGACAAAGATATTAGAAGTTTATGCTTAATATAATGTAGAAAAAATAATGTGAAAATTAGGAGAGAAATGGAAATATCAAATAAATCCAAATGGAAAGTACAGAGACAAAACCGTAATACTTGAAATACTACTACTGTGTGTTTTTTGGTATGTGCTTGAAGCTTTTCTTCCCACATATGGATATATAATTGTTTTTTTAAAAAAATGCTAGAAAGACTTTTTTTTCTTTGAATTACTTTTGCACCTGTGTTGCAAATCGATTAATCATATATGTCTGTTTCTATTTCTGGACTCCTTTCTTGTTCCATTGATGTGTGTATCTATCCTTTCTTCGACGCCACACTCTCTTGATAGATGCAGCTTTATTTTAAGATTTGAAATCAACAGGCTTGAGTCCTTAACTTTGAATGGTGTTTCAATTTTTATAACATTGCATTGTCTTAATGTACAAATGCAAAAAAAGGATATATTGCCAGACATAATTTTGGAAAGAAAATGTGATATTTCTCAGCATCTTGATACTCAGAAAAGTCTAAGATTTAAAGAAAAACTTAATTCTGTTAAAAAACATAATAAAATAGCCTTGATTGGAGTGAGAATCTTTCTAATATATATTTGCTGTTCAATTTTTTTCCATACTTTTCTCTCAAGTGAAAAGAAGTTTCTTTTCAAATTCTGTTTATCTTTGAGGTTCGTGAATATTATCTCTTCACTTTTAATTATTACTATGTATTCCAAGATGATTTTGCACCTCAGTTTTTGCTGTTATTTTCATTACTGAATATTTCATTTAAAAATGTTGAGTTTTATTCTAATTGTTCTCATTAAGGTATCATTCATGTATCGCTAATTCTTACATACTCTAAGTGCTAAGAAATGAGAAAAGATCACTTGAGGAAACAAAGATGATTTTAAGAAGACAAATGGTCAAATTTCTTATATTAAATTAAAATAAGAAAATGAAACCTAAATTATGGCACAAAGTTAAATTTATGTAAGGGGAAGCATTAAATGACTATGATTGTCATTGTAAGACAAAGAAAGAAATGTGAAATCAATGCTTTTGTTTTATTCACTTTTTTATTTATTTTCACTCAAGGCTTGAGCTCACATTTTATTTATATATATATGAAGACCTGTTCTTTGCAGCAAATATATTAAAACAAAATCTATTTTCAATCACATTTATATTTGGTCAATTGCATTATCTATAGCAATAATGTTATGTTATGTTTAAAATAATCATTTCTAATTATTCATGAATACAAAAAATGCTGTTCCCAGCACCATGCTTTAAAATAGGAAGCCCTTATAACAACAAAAGTGTCTTCATATTGGCTTTCTGAAAAAGAAATTCTCATCTATTTATCTTAGAAATTAAATTTGTAAGCAGGAAGTATAGCCAAAGGAAAAATTTTCTTCTCAATTATTGTTTGTTTGCTTTTTGTCATTTTACGCAACCTCCAAGTTTCTGACCTAAACTTTCAACCATCAACTTAGAGTACTTGCTCGTCTTTGAAAAGGAAAAGTGAAGTGATCAGGACAACATTTTTCTTCCTTCATATTGAATATGAAGGATGTAAGATAATAAAATGTTAGAATATGCTTTTCTTCTATGTTGTTCCCGCAGCTAAATATGAGACTATCAGTTTTCCAAGAGTGTATCTATATGGTAAATGTTCAGTGACCTTCAAATTTCTTTGGCCATTTTATTTCTCTCCTAACATATTGTTTTATATTTACCCTTCTATTTAACTTCAGACTTTTTAGAAGTTTTCTTGTCTGATTTTACCTTTAGTCTTACACTTTTTATATTCCCATAAACTTACAAAATTGATAGAACACTAGGAATGAACAATGGACCTTTTGGAATGCAGTGTGATAATTAAAATATTTGAATAGACACCTCTAAAAGAAGATACATATGTGATTAATAAGCATAAAAAAGATGTCTAACATCAGTAGTCTTCTGGAAATTATAAATAAAAACTTCATTGAGATTCCACTATGCACACATTAGTATGAGTAAAAAAATACCAACTATTAGTAAGGAACAAGTAAAAACAGTAAACACTACTGGTGGGGGTGAACAATGGTACAACCATTTATGAAAATTCATGAAAATTGCTTGATAGTTTCTTGTTAAATTCAATGCATACTTGCAATATGACCCAGGAATTTCACTGCTAGGTTTTTATCTAAGAGAAATAAAATATATACATGTGAGGATGTGTACCTGAAAGTTCACTGCTGCTTTATTCAAAATAACCAAAAACTGAGAACTGTAGCTTAACCATAAAGTACAACACTACTCGGAAATATAAAGAAGCAAACTACTGATATATGCAGCAAGATGGCTAAATTAGAAAAGTGTGTTGAACAAATGAACCCAGGCACAAAATAGTAATTAGTATGTGACTTAGCATATGATTCTATATATATGAATAGGATATTATATTAAATTATAGGACAGGCCAAACAAATTTATAATTTCAGAGAGAAGTAAGATGTTACCTGTGTTGATAATGGGTTGTATCGACAGCAAAGGGGCAGAGAAGACCCTTTGGCAGAAATAAAAATACTTAATTTACATGTTGATAACAAAGGTAAATACGTTCGTCAAAGTTTACCAACCTCTACATCTAAATAGATGCACTTAATTTTATAAAATCTATACTATTAAAGTTGAATATTTCATGATAAGCTTGATAAATGATGTTTGATAAAGCCATAGCATTTACAAGGTTCTTGAATGATTACAATATCAAATCAGCCATAAAAATTTGTAAAAGATGCAAGGTAGGACACATTTATACTGGAACAATGGCAGTATAAATGTGTTTTTTGCAAATGTGTGTATATTTGATTCCTATCACATTTTTTAATAAACCTTTATATCACACAAATGGTCAAATTACCTGGATTAAATTGATGCCATACATGGTGGTTTATAATATAATAAACATTACAAGTGCTTTCCAAAATATCTGTTAAAAATACACAATTTCTTTATTCTCAGTGATTATTCCCTTTATTCTTACATAGTATAAACGTAGCTAGCAGGTTTTTTAAAAAATGACTTTTACTAGAAGCAGATATACCTCATCTTCACTATCTGTTTAATTTTCCTCCATAAATGTGTTGCAAACTTAAATGTGTGTCTCATAAACAGGACTGCCACTTAAGTGTCAAATATTGTCCCTGGGTATGCTTTCTAATCTGGTGACTTTCCAACAACACTCTATTTGGCATCTCAGCCATGTTTGACTGTGAAAAATAGGCATTTCTGGGAAATTTCTAAATTGTCTTTTTAGCCTAAGTGAACCAGAGGATATTTCAAGGATATCATATATATATAGCTCTTCCTGTCAAACTAGAAAGTTCAGTGAAGGTCTGAAATTTCTTCTTTCCTATCCTTAAAGAGCTGCTGTCCTCATTCTTGAAACTGCAGAGGAGTATATCAGCATGAAAGCTAATCCTGTGCCTTCAGTCACACTCACTGTAATCAGAGTTCCTCTTCCTCTCCAATACCAAGCGCATATGTGATAGGCATCATGGCTGAAACTACAGCAGTAGTGTCCACTGCTAAACGGACATGTTTGGCAAAGGGAGGACTCCCAGAAATACAGTACTTGTCGACTTTGCAGGAGACTGACTAATAAGGATGCTAAATAAAATATTTGATGCCCAATTAAATGTGAATTTTAGATCAATGAATGAATTATTTTTAGTATAAATATGTCCCATGCAACATTTAGGACATACTTACTGTGATGTTTAATACTGAGTGTCAACCTGATTAGATTGAAGGATGCAAGGTATTGATCCTGGGTGGGTCTGTGAGGATGTTGTCAAAAGAGATTAACTTTTGAGCTAGTGGGCTGGGAAAGGCAGACCAACCCTTAATTGGGATGGGCCTAATCAGCTGCCAGCTTGGCCAGAATATAAAGCAAGCAGAAAAATGTAAAAAGCCCAGACTGTCTTAGCCTCCCAGCCTACATCTTTCTCCCATGCTGGATATTTTCTGCCCTCGAACATCGGACTCCAAGTTCTTCAGCTTTGGGACTCAGACCGGCTTCCTTGCTCCTCAGCTTGCAGATAGCCTATTGTGGAACCTTGTGATCATGTGAGTTAATACTACTTAATAAACTCCTAGGAGTTTTATTAAGTTTAATAAAGTTTATTAAGTTTAATAAACTAATAAGAGATATATATCTCTCCTATAGGATATGTATATAATTATATGTATATATATATAAAATATATATATTAATTCTGTTCCTCTAGAGAACCCTGACTAATACACTTACACTAAAGAAAATTGTTTGTTGCTTAATGGGACAAATTTATACTTAAAAAGTTATTGCTATTTATCTAAAATTCAAACTCATTTGCATATCTTTCATTCTTATTTGCTAAATCTGGTAAACCTAGACTGGCAGGATAAAATAAAATCCAGTAAGATGTATATTATTACTTTTTAAAAAATACATGGGCTGTTGAGGAAAGGGAACTAGGTCTCACAGTGAACCCACTATGAACTTCAGAGGCATTGTGGAAAATATAAGGTTCATGTAGAAGTCTTTGTAAAATTTTTATTTAGTTGCCTGAATGTGGACAGCAGATATAAAATTAAGGAACATCTTAGATTTCAGTAAGCCCAGATATCACTAAGTTGCTAGAAATGGTACATTCTAATTTTGAAAATTATGTTAGTTCTTTTGTTTCAAATCCTTCTAGAAAACAGTTGCATGGGGATGAGGGATAGTTTTACCTCTTAATTGTTTACAAAACAATCATAGAAATAAAATCTAGCAAGTCTTTTTTATTGATCACGTTTGCAGCAATATATGCATAAGCCTTACAGCTGAAATACTTTGCAATTTCCCATGAATATCTAGGATGAACAGGAACCAGGCTATTTTCTTAACGTCATAATGTACCTATCCAGTACAAACTAGAGTTATCTGGTCAAATTTGAACAATATCTCTAACCTAAATTGGATTATTCCAGGATAAACATTACTTTGGAGATTACATTTTCCCATCTGGTTCTCTTACTGATCATGAGAATCAGAAAATATCCCATTACCCACTTTATTATCACAGTAAGTTTGGGCTCCATACCTGCTCTAATTCTTGAAGTGGCATTATTATAAAATATTTCTGCACAAAGGATTTGGGTGGTTTTATCTGTATACTTTATGGATCATCGCATGGAGTCAGGCAGAGATGGCATCCATCTCATTCATTAAAGCTATTGTAGAAAGTGGCAGTGTGTGTGTTGGGCCTCTAGGGTGAGCCTGCTGTAACTTTCTCCTCAAGGGCCAGGTTATTACTGGGATCAGTCCAGTTTCTGTTTCCATATTTTCTGTATTGAAAAGAGAGGTTCTACCTGGGCTCCTCTCTACATCGACTTTTGTCAGCAGTTTCTTCCCATCTATCTGGCTTTTAGTAGGAATAATTAAGACATTTGTAACTTGGGCTGCTAACACTACAGTTAGGTTTTAGGATAACATACTGCAGGTTCAAGACAGTAACTAGTGGATTCCATGCCTTTGGTGATGGTACAGGCTTTCCCTTCCATTGAAATTCTGTGTCTTCTTTAATGTCACAGTCAGTAGATTTTAACTGTAATCTGTATGGGTCCATCTCTTACTAATGATCCAGCGTGAAATGCTTTAGTGAGATTGGATTTTCTGAGCTAGCCCAGTAGTGGAGGTGTAGTAGATATAGGCAGAGGATGAGGAGGAAAAAGAAGAGGAAGATGGCAGGCTGGCTGCAGCAGTTTGGAAGGAAGTGCAGCCCAGCATTCTGCAGCAGGTAGTTAGAGCACAGACAGGCACATTTATAAGTTTACTACTCATGTGACACACTTGACCACAGCTTGGCAGGAAGAATTTTCTGAAAACGTCTTGATTTGTAGCCTCATTACTTCAATCTCTGTTTCTGTGATCACATTGTGCCTCCTTTTTTCCATGTGTATTAAAGTTGAATTCAAAACTAAAAAAAAAAATTATCATAACAGGGCCACCAGTAAACAGCCACCATTTTGGCATCTCTGAGTCAAAACTTAAGCTTAATGATGTTACAGACATGATTGAAGCACCTGAACCCATACAAGGTCATTTGTGTATAGACCTTGATTGACACTATTGTTTGGATACAACCAGAGAGAAGGAATGCATAGGACAATTTTATAATCTTACCCGTTTGGGTTTTTCTTATGTTAAATCACCTTGGAAGTACAGTTGCATTTAAAACTTCCTGTACAGATTAATGCAGAAAAGTTGGGACATTTGGAGATTAGTTGAATAAAAATAGAACTTCGGTAGAGTTGGAATAAATGAAA
Source organism: Homo sapiens (assembly GCF_000001405.40). NCBI lineage: Eukaryota > Metazoa > Chordata > Mammalia > Primates > Hominidae > Homo > Homo sapiens. The sequence continues at coordinate 48,953,180 of NC_000006.12, forward strand.
ACTTTCAAATCCAAATAGATGTTTTACAGATTTGCAATAGTTTACAACTTATCGTATTTGGAAGTAAATACTTAAAAATTGGCTAAGGAGACGCATAAAGGAATCTGCTTCCCTTTCCAAAAGACAGACTGAAAATAACAGCAGAGATTCTATTGCAGAATTTAAGAGTAGGACATCAATGGGCGACGATTGAATATTTTTCTCCTTCTGTTGTTCACCTCCTCAGAAACATGTGTGAGATTGAATTTTTTCAAAAAAGAGGAAAGAAGGAAAGAAAGAAAGAGGGAAAGAAAGAAAGAAAGAAGGAAAGAAAGAAAGAAAGAAAGAAAGAGGCAAAGAAAGAAAGAAAGAAGGAAAGAAAGAAAGAAAGAAAGAGGCAAAGAAAGAAAGAAAGAAAGAAAGAAAGAAAGAAAGAGAAAGAAAGAAGGAAGGAAGGAAGGAAGGAAGGAAGGAAGGAAAGAAAGAAAGAAAAAAAGAAAGAAAGAAAGAAGGAAAGAAAAAGAAAAAGAGAAAGAAAAAAGAAAGAAGGAAAGAAAGAAAGAAAGAAAGAAGAAAGAAAGAAAGAAGAAAGAAAGAAAGAAAGAAAGAAAGAAAGAAAGAAAGAAAGAAAGAAAGAAAGAAAGGAGATATGTAAAAAGCACAAAAAAACCCAGGACAGCTATCAGTTCACAAAGACAAAAGTACACTACAAATACTTAGCATCTTGTCATTAATTGTCACACTGTTGCTTTTGGACATTCTTGATTAGAGGAAAGGAAGTTGAAGTCTAGCCTGGCAAAGAGAGTATTTTCATTGCAAATCTACAACTTTATGGCTATAATTTTGAAAAATACACTATTTTATAATACCTAAAGCAAAACGTAAAAAGTGTTTCTATAGAAAATTGAAACTTACCAAGGTCTCCACATAGGTGAAAGAGCTTGCAACCTCTTCAATCATACTCTCTCAGGTTGTACACATTGTTTTTTTAGAAAAGAACATTCATATGTGATATAATAAAAATGACATTCATTGTATGTTCTAAAAAATGTTTAAATACTTAAGAAAAAGAGAAAAAATCAATGTGGAGAAACTGGCCACTTTTAAAAATCCATTCTTTTGGAAGTGCACTGATATTAGACATTTCCAGGCAAAATAAGATGAATAAAAAATGAAGTTGGTGAAACCTGCCTTCAATATTCTTTCTCTTAACTTTTAACATCATTTTCCTACTTTATGTTGCTCAAGCTCTGGTTTTAACATTTTTTTCTTGTATCTTCCTAGAAAAAACTTTTTGTACCTTGAGATAGCGCAACAAGCATAGGAGACTTACCAATCTTTTCCTTCTAATAGAAATAAAACAAGCAAATTTAGCCTGGGCTTATCTTCTTTTGATATAGATTTTCTTTCAATAAGCTAGAAAAGACCCCCTTTCTAGCAGGTATTAATATTTGAGAATAGGAAAATATGTCTTTTTCATATCATTTCTTACAGAAATAAAATTTATGCTAAGACAGAGAAAATAAAGTGTGTAGGCTGTGGTGAGACGGGCTATAGAAATTACCACAGGTGAGAAAAGATACAGAAGGGCTATAGAAGGATAAAGAATTTGACTTCCAGAGTCTAATCTATAATGTTTATTGTCTCTATTCTTTGAAATTTGACATTGGAGCAAATTCTGGATGATGTGTGCCATAGCTTGGCTTTAACTTCCTCACCCTCAAATAAATGTATTTTATTTTCTTTATATCAGTCACCCACAACCATAATTATAATTTTGGTCTTGTTATCTCTCCAAATTACATCACCACTAAAATCTCAGTGTTTTTTGTTTGTTTGTTTGTTTGTTTGTTTGTTTTGAGATGGAGTATCACTCTGTCGCCCAGGCTGGAGTGCAGTGGCGCCATCTCGGCTCACTGCAAGCACCGCCTCCCAGGTTAACGCCATTCTCCTGCCTCAGCCTCCCGAGTAGCTGGGACTACAGGCGCCCACCACCACACCCAGCTAATTTTTTTTTTTTTTGTATTTTTAGTAGAGACAGGGTTTCACCGTATTAGCCAGGATGGTCTCGATCTCCTGACCTAGTGATCCACCTGCCTTGGCCTCCCAAAGTGCTGGGATGACAGGCGTGAGCCACCACGCCCGGCCTGAAATCTCAGTTTTAAGCATTCTATTTTCTGACCATAATTCCTAGATTTTCAACTAATGTTTTGTGTCATTTTAACAATCCTTTATCTATACGATATTGTCTCCTACTTCATTAAAATATATATATAAACAATTGGTTGAGTTCCTTTATAGTCTTATACCAACTCTATTAGTCTTCCTGTATCTGTACTCAAGATCCGTACTCCTACCTAAGGCCCAAACTTCTTTTGCTTTGAACTCCATCTCCTTTTGTCTTCTCAAGTAATTCTTTCTGCAAATGGTCCATTATTTCCCTGGAGTCATAATTGTGCTTCCTCTTGGATGTTTCTCATCACCAGATAAAAATGTTTTATCAAGTATATAAAAATTTTAAAAACCATCGAACCTAAAACTAAACAAAAATAGACTCCATATTCATCCATTTCCCCTTCAGCTACTATTTTATTTCTGGGTAATTCATTGTATTAAAACACTTAATATTTTTTAGAATTTCTATTACCAAGTGCTCACATACCACTTTTTCAACCCACTGTTAGCAGGTTACTTTTACCAACACTCTATGGAAATTATTGTTGTTTGAATTAATGATGACCTGCATGTTTCTTAAGATCACTTCAAAGATCATTGACTCCTCTTTGAAATTATTATTGGTGATCGCTTTCTCTTTTTTGAAAAGCTGCCTTCTGGTACTACCTCTTCTGATTTTCCTTCCTGTTTGGTCTTCTCTGTCTCCCTTGCTAGCTTATTTATTCTTTGGCATCTAAATGTTGGAATGTCTCAATATTCTGTTCTGGTTCCCATCTCTTCTCAACTACACACACTCCCTGGTTATTTCCTTCGGTCCTATGGCTTTAAGTGTGGTCCCTAAAGCAATTACTCCAAGGTTAAAATTTTCGTCTTTCACTTCTCCACTAAATTGCAGACTTAGTTGTTCAAATTTCTAGTGCTTTGATGTTATGCCAAGTAAACTTTTCAAAATTGTCATGTCCCAAACAGAACTCTCCTTTTTAATAAAAATATCTTCATGAATTCTAATCTATTTTTACTACTATTTTCTGAGTCCAAGCTACTTTCATTTTTCACCAGGAGTACATAAAGTCTCTCCTAATTTCTCATCCTCTTTTAATCTTATCCCTCTATTATCTATAGTATTTTCTTAAGTTATTTTTAATATCAAGAATTTTATTTCCAAGAAATAGTTATTATAATATTTTATGCATATATCATCCCATTTACTACATTGTCTATTTACAGGTACTTATTTATTTCAAAAATTTATTTTAAATAAATGTTGTCTGTGATAATAATACCTACATCAAATGCAAATCTGCTACTATTTGATAGTTAGAAGGGACAAATTATTTAGTATATTTATGTTAAACTTAGGTTTTCGGTGACCAAATCAACAGACATAACTTACATTTAATTTAAGCATAACACACTCTTCATATCAATAATATGAATATCAACATATACTGAAAAACAAACCTAACCTCAAGCTAAGGAAGTAGATGTGATATTGACATACATAGTTGATTTGCTGTAACATTTCTCAGAGCTTTAGAAAGAAAATATGTTGAAATATAACCAAAAGAACTGAAAGCAGGAACTCAGACATATTTGTACACTCATGGTCATAGCAACATTATTTAAATAGCTAAAAAGTGGAAACAACAGAAATGGCTATTGGTGGATGAATAGATAAACAAAACTTGATATGTACAGGCAATTAAGATTATTAAACCTTAAAAAATAAGGAAGGTCTGACACATGGTACAACATAGATGAACTCAGAACAATAATGAGTGAAATAAGCCAAATACAAAAACACATGTACTGTATGATTCTATTTATATGAGGTGCCTAGATTGATGAAATTTATAGAGACAAAATGTAGAATGATAGTTGCCAGGACTTGGGGCAGAGGAGAATGGGAAATTGTTTTTTAAAGAGTATAGAGTTTCAGTTTTGCAAAATGAAAAGATTCCTAGATATTGGTTGCAGAACAATGTGAATGTACTCAACACTGTGGAACTGCACACTTAACGATCAAGATGGAAAAATGTTTGTTGTATGTATATTACCATAATTTATTTTTATATGTTATATGTATATTATATATATGTATGCTTCTCTCTTTCTAAATATATATCTCAATACTTCACTTGGTGAGACATGCTAATTTTTATAGTACAAAAATCTGCTGTAATTTATTTAGTGGAGAATTAAAGGGTTCATTTCATCTTTACTCCTCAGGTAGAACTCACATTCCACCTCAGAAGCTGTGAGAACTGTGCAGATTAGGATGTAAATGAAGAAGATTCAGTCAAAGTACCCCAAGCTATTTATCAAATTTTAAATGGACTAAGGAATCAAAGTGGGAAACTTTTTCTAATGGGAGAGGGCATTGGGAGATGCTGTGTAGCAGCAAGGAGAACACTGCGCAAGTAACAGACCAGCAAATCTGGGTATATCTTGCTTTTAAAAACTAAAATATGAAAGTTCTTTTCCTTAAGTGGGGCAATTTAGCTTGTTTTTTTCTTATTGTTCTCTCGATGTTATAGAATTTTTTTTCACAAAAAACTGGCACAGTGCAGAGCGATTGGCTTGGTGAAGGATGTGTAACAGTGTCCCTGGGGAATGATATGTCTGAACTGTCTCTTGCATGAACTCGAAAATTCAGCATGGGGTGACGAGTCCACTCCACCCACGTAAATATTCAGATGGTGAAATTCTGCAGAATCAGGCAGTGACAGGGAGGTCTTTCAGTGAAGAAAGGAGCTGAAAAGACTCACTTGTTGGAGACCATAAAACCACTGTTTTTGACTGTCCCTCTGGAATCAGGAAAATGTGGGGGTGTAATATAGGTGCCATACTGTCATGCACTTAAGACATCAAAACTACTTTGCCTTCCAAGTTGAACTGGGAGTTCTGGGCTTGGCAGATTGATGCCTCACTCTGATATGCAAGGTGAATGGTTTTTCTATGTGGCAGCTGAGATTAAGTCTGTTTAGGAAAGGGAACAAAGAATCTCTTATTCTTTTTCTGGATCGCGATCCATCCAAACATAGAGTCCTGTTCTTCCATGAGCTTCTTGAAGGCAAGTATGTCTTGTATTATGATGCTCCCCTTCACCCCTTCACCTTCTACTCAGCCCCCAATGTTGTTATATTGGAATGTGCATAAATGATTGGAAGGAAAAGTAGCAGAAGCCCATAGAAATGTAGAGAGATGAGGAGAATGCTCCCCACTAGTTGGTAATGGACTAGGGTCCTCTTTGTGCACTAGACCAGAGAAAGGAGCTTTCATTTACATCCACATTTTGTTGTATAGTAGCTGTGTGCCAGCTTCTGTTCTTTAAATTCTCTAAGCTTCAGACTTTGGGTTTGTAAAAGAGTATGTCTACTCCATAATTTTGATGCTCAAACAAGATAATGTAAATAAAATTATTTGATAAAGCTCTTTACAAATTTAAAGTATTATTATATAACCCACATTAGATGTTATCTAAATGTTATAGCTTTATCCCTTTGTGGATTGACATATCTTCCTAACCGAAGTGTTGGGATGAAGTGTCATTCCTTCCAAGAGAGTCATGTAGTCTTCAAAGTTTATGAAATGTTAATACAGATTAACAGAGATAGTTGGTATATTGGTGAGATTTATCCATATCTCACCAGACCCTAGTGAGCTATCTCAAGACTTGAAAAATGCAAGTATGTTTGCAGTATAGGGAGAAGAGGTTTGACAAAAGATTCTTTTATAAAAATGACAGAATTATGTCAAAATTCACCTAACTGAAGTGAAAAACTACATTAGATGTTAATGTGTCTGAAAACAATTTTAAAATACATTCAGAAACACTTTTATAAAAAAAATGAAAACAGACTGGGAGCAGGTTTCAAAGAGTGGAAAAATTATTTTGTGAGCAAATTGTAAAAGAAGAGCATAGATTTAATTACTTATATATTTCGGAAAACTAGAAAGATGGACTGCAAGGAATGCTGCTAGGACTTAGAGACCTTCAGCAGCTGTTGCTTTCCCATTGATTCTTTCATGGGATTTCCTTATGTAACTTTACACTCACTAATGTATTTGCAAATACTATTAAATCCTAAATTATATGCAGGCTTTTTTTCCACTTTATGGAGAACGGGCCTCAATGGGGAGCTGAGTTTATTATTAATGTATCCAGCTTTCTCTCTCCCTCTGAAAATAGTAAGTAATGGCTAATGTAGAATAAATCATTTCCTGCACTTAATGAGTCCCTGTCCATCGATAATGTTAAATTAACTGTTGACTCAGTTTCAGACTCCAAGCACATAATATTTGTTAACTCTTGTAAGTTTTCGAAGTGATTTCTCAAATTTCCTTTATCTTTCACCCTTTCCTTTCCTTTTTCCTTTCCCCTTTCCTCTCCTCTCCCCTCCTCTCCTCTGTTCCCCTCCCCTTCCCTCTCTTCCCCTCTCCTCTCCTCCCCTTTCCCCTCCTCTCCTTCCTTTTCTTTCATTTCATTTTTTATTTCTTTCTTTGTTTACAAAGCAGGCACATACTCTTGCCCTCATATTTCAAACGAAGAACCTAAGGCTCAGGAAATATATATGGTTTTACTGCCTAAGGGCACATAACTTAGATTGAGAAATCATAATCAAGAATATTTTATTTATTTATTCCTGGATTAGAGAATTCCCATAGATGCGTGGGACCATGCTAAGCACTGGAGAGGGACTGGTGGACAGGAAAGACCCAGGCCTAATCCTCCCCCATAGATGCCTGGGACCGTGCTAAGCACTGAAGGGAGAGTGGTGGCCTCATCCTCCAGCAGCCTAGAACAGCAAATGAGCAGTGAGCAAATAACTGAGAAGTTAAGAAACAATTGTGAAGGAAATTGCAAAATACATTTTAAATGAATGACAATGGGATAAAATTAGGGCTAACAAAGTTACCTTTGAGAAATGATGTTTAAGTTGTGACCTGAAGAAAAGAAGTTAGATAAAAAGTGAATATGGAGAGAGAATGTTAAATCTAAGGTAGCATAAAGGATAGAGGGAGAAAAATGAAGACCAGCAAATGGACAGGGGCAGGTCTTTTAAGACATCATATGCTATGGTGATAATTGTGTCCTTTATCTTGACAATAGTGAAAAAGATTGTGGTTAGATTTAAATAAAGAAATAATATGTGTGTTTCTAAAAAAAGAATACTATGGCTTTAATGTGGAATTGGTCTCAAATGGAGAGGAGTGAATGAAAAGTAGATAGTGAGAAATTCACTACAGTGATTGAAATTACAGATTGCAGTGATCTGAGATTAGAAGAATGAAATTCATGGTCCTCACTGGAAAGGGCCTTGTTGTGAAGCTTAACTTTGCAGACAGGAGGGTGCTATGCTAGGTGACTTTTATCCTGGAATGTGTGTGTTTAGTGTGGTGTTTTGGATAGATGACTCCTACAGTAGTATCTGGGAAGTTAAATCAAGACTTGATTTTAATAATTGTGCCAATTGGAGATTAAGCTCAAATTTATACAACAAATAGATAACACAGTTGAAATCTTGATGTCAAATTTAATGTTACTGCCACTAAACCAAGCCACCTGTTTGTTATAATGTTATTGTATAATTAGTATTATACTAATTGTATAAGTATTATACTAATTGTATAATACTAATATTAATATTACATAATATTAATATTGATATAAAATCAAGTTTTTTTTAGATGCTAAGTTTTACTGTGTACGCATCATCTTATGTATTTCTCACACATGCTTAGAGGTGTAGCAGTCATCGGTCTTCCAGGCTCCAAGCCTAGAAGGCCCATGTCACTTCAGAACGGCCCTCGCCTACTAGTCCCAATCTCTTCTTGAAGTTGGAAGTTGGCTGCTTTTGTTCATTTACCCTGCAAAACTCTTTTATTCACCTTGTTCTAGGAGACACTCCCTTAGAGTTTCCTCTGATTCCATAACCTGAGTAAAGTACTCATTCCCTGGCAGTTTGAGTCTTGGAGAATTTGGGGGATTGATTAAACACATGCTGTTGAATTATGTTATTACTTTATTATGTGAAAGCAGAGCTCATAGACAATAGCCTGTGGGTCACATGCAGCCATTCCATGGAGAAGGCAATGGAAGTGCAGAGAAGGAAGATAATATAAAGCAAAGAAAACAAAACAAAATAAACCTTCCACCCACAAAAAAATGCAAAAACTAACCAAGTTATTTCCGATGACAGAAACTATAATCTTTCCACTATATCACCCTACTTTTATATCCTCTTACAAACATATGTAAAAGTGTAACATATTTTAGAAAAATTGTAAGTTTCAGTTTAAAAATGGAAAGCTTCAATTTTGCAAAAAAAAGATAATTTATCTTAAATGCCTTATTCTCATTCAGACTGGATTATTGAAGAAAAAGAAAATGTTTAAAAACTATACTTTGTGAAAATAAATTTGTATTCATTATGGCAAAAAGAGAGAGAAATCATCCAAAACAACTCAATTTTTCCATTTTCACGCTAATTAAGATGGTAATAAAATAGAGTATTAATCCTTGCTTACATAACTTGGCTCCTATAGGAAGGCAAGATTTTGATTGTTAGGTAAACCATATTTGCCCTGCAGCTATTTTACAAAATATTCCTCTAACTGGTGATGTAATTCTGCAATTCACACTTAGTGTTTACCTTAAATAATTCTCACTTTCTATTGAGGTACTGGCTACTCACCATTAAATTAGTTTTGGCTCTTTAAAGTCAACATCATTATATAAGAAACATTGACTCCTACTTAGAGGTCAAAGTAAAAAAATAATTTGGCTCCTGTGCATGTGTCCAAGATAATTAGCTATAAATAAAATTCATCATCTCTTTGATTTGCAAAGAGCAATCACAGCAGGGGTCTCAAAAGCATAGCGCAGCCAAGTAAAGTTGTGCAATGTTTGTCTTGTGCAGAGATGCCAGGCCTGGAAAGGGTGTGGGCTAAAATCCAGCCAACACTCAGCCTGCAGGTACGCAGCGAGAGTAACTTTTTCCAGTGTATCCAAAATCTTGCAGAGTCTGAGTGAGGCTGATGAGCTATATGACCTTGGCAATACTTTCAAACTCTTTTGAGTCTCAATTTCTAAAACTACAGAATGGAAATAGCAATATATAGGCCTCATAATGCATATTTATATAATTATAAATTATATATTCAGGGACACACATGTGATTTGTTCATAATTTTAGTGAAATTTAAACTTTCCCCAGATGTACTCTTATCTCTTCCCTTGAGCAAATATTATTTCCTGTTAAGTATTTTTTAGTAAAATATTATTACCTGATAATTATTTCTTAGTAAATTAAGTTCTCCTCCAAATTCGTTAAAATTGATTCCATTTTAAATATTTTATATTGGCAAATGCTGGTATTATGAATAATTTATAGACGAGTTAACAAAAGAGATCAAACACTTGGAACTTAATTTTAAGAACTTTCGAACATACATCTTTAATGTGGTTAGAAGTGAAGACGTTGTTTGGAAAATATTTTCAAGTGCATACCGTAAAAAAAAAAAAGATGCAAATTTCCATCAATTCATCTCCCACATAACAATGTAGCTTTAAGTGAGCACTTCTTTTTTCACTTTGCATAAGTCAATAACAGACTCAGTGTATGCTCACATTCCCTGAAATAATCCAGTCAAATGAAAAGCATCTAGCATCAGTGGGCTATGCAAATTTCATTGAAAAGATTGTGATAAGTCTGTAAGAAGATGTTACAAGATGTAAGAATCTCCTATTGTCAATTAGTTTTATCAATAGAACAATTTAAGTCAATCAGTTTTATTCCATGCAATCCCTTTCCAACCGATTTTTAGTTTCCATCTTCTTTCTCTTAATTCCCCAGACTGCAATGATTTCTCACTTTATAACACAGAACAGATCGGCAAACCTGTACATCCACACCTATTCTACAGCTGTCCAAGCAAAGATGGACACTCCATTTATCAGGAAGCATTTCTGCAAGGGTTGATGACAATTATGATGATGATGATGATAAAATCTTGACACTTAGATGTACACATTTTCTTATTTTATTTAGTGGACAAGATTTTGTCAAGTGTTTATTTTTTTCATGCCCATCTGGCAATCCTGCTTAGAGAAGGATATCACTATATTTTAATGTATTTCTCCTGCTTAGGCTGAGTTAATTCTTCTGTATATAGTGGCTTTTTTTCAAATACTTTGGAGTTAGGCAGTGTAAACCTAGTAGTTTATTTGCAGTGCTCTCCAACAGCAGAAAGTGAGATTTTGGAAGTTTCTTCTGTAAACCAGAATGCTCTCTGGAGCACCTGATCTCTTGGTACCTGTCTTAGAAATTTTCCCATATTTGGGCAGTCAGGAAATGTATGTGCATGTAGAGATGCTAAAGGGCATAAAAAAACCTCGGTCTTTTTACATCCATCCACGACTTACTCTTTTCTGCAAACGATAAAGAAAAGGATTACTTATGACATTTTACGGACATGCATACTGAGCAGTAAAATTTGAACTAGGTTTAACTTAGGGCATAGATGGTGCTGATGTTGAAAAGCTTTCTCCATGTTATGTATACCCAAAAGTGTGCTTATACACATATCTATGCACAGAAATATTTGTTTTTTAAGAGGGAGAAAAAACACAAGTCGGTCTTGCCCCAGTAATTCAGGAGAAAATTAAGGGAAGATAGATATGTGTGTATATGGTTGGGTGGGGGACAACTTTTGCAAAATTATGAGACTTTGGGTACAAGAAGAACTGCTTTTTGACCTAAGAAATAATGCTGACAAAGAGCTAAGAAGAAGGCAGTATTTTATATCTAGCATGCAACTCAAAACTCCTCAGCATGGTTGAGAGTATCAAAAGGAAGCACATGTGGCATAAAGAGAATTGGCCATGATGTAGATTCTTCAAAGAGCTTTTTATTTCATGACAAAAGGATAATAATAGTTGCTAACATTTATTGAGCTAAAGCCACAAGGTGGTCAGGTAAAGAGATCAGCACCTAGAACTTCTGTGAAGAGTGTTAATGTGCGATGGTGATTGGAAGTCCGGGGCATGGGCAGAGTGGGAGGAGGCTTAGATTATATCCGTTTCCCTGGTGAGGACTTAGAACCTAAAGTACTCTTACACCTACATCTCCTCAGTTATATCTTCCCAGGTTGTGGTGGCCTGGAAAAATCTGTATTACTTGGGGTTTAGCTAGGAAAATGAACCAGATTTATGAACAGTAAACTGGAAAACAAGTATAGTCCATTAGGTAAATGCAACAAATGTGCCTCCTTTTCCTCGGATCCTGTTTCACTGACTGCTGATAATATACTTTATGATTTCAAGATGAGAAATAACCTCAGAAGGAGAAATCATTTTTACTAAGATTGATGACTAAAGCTTTGGCAGCTGCAGCTGACAAAAATTGAATTTATACAAACAGCCAGGGAAGCAGTTTCTCCAAAAGAGAGGAAATCCAATGAGGGTAATTTCTTGGTCTCTGCTTTTCCATGTACCTATTTAGTAATCATTTTAAAGTTAAAATATTAGGGTTCATTTTTTTCTTTATAATTTGTCTACTCTTGAAACCCTAGGCAATAAAAGTAACTCTTTCTCAGCTTCTGGAATATGTATTTAGCAGAAAATGTATAAATTATGGTGATAGGGGAAAGTTATGTCATTCTGAGACAGAAACCTTTTGTTTATTATAATTGACAATTTCTTTCTTGGAAGGCAATATTCTTAAGAAATTATTTGATGTAAGTTTACTATGATTAAAATTTGCTCAGGGAAACCAATCATGCCATTTATCCATGTGACGTTCAGTCAAGACTCTATAAACCTTTAATCAACATTTTTTCTTGCAGTAACTACCTCAGAAATGTTTTTCCTGACAACGTCTTGTCCCAGAAAATTTGTTTCTCAAGGAAAAAAAAAAAAGATTTGAATCAGTCTGTTGTAAAGCATGTTTGTAATAAAACTTTGATATGTCTAACAAACCAAGTTGCCTGAAAACTATTTTTGAACAGTAAGATTTCACTGCCCAACATCACTCATGTACATGTATGCAGGCTGGCCCTGACTCACATTATGGATGGATGTTGGTAATCAGGAAGACTAACTTGGAAAAAAGATGAAGGTTACTCCTTGGAACCCCAGGCTTTCTCTAGGTTTCTCCTCTTTCTATCACAATAGATGTTATCTTTCTTTGTTACTTTAAATTTCATATTAGCAGGTTTATAATTTAAATCAATCTGTCTAGCTCTCAAAAAAATTTTTAATTATCTCTCCCCATAAAATAATGAAACTGTCTTCTACAGTGCTCCCCAAGTGTCCTATTTACTAATTTGTGAAATCTGGATTTGGAGAACCACTGGAGACTCAGGGAGCCAGCCTTTGAGGAAATGCATTGTTAAAACAAAATGGCTGTCTCAATAGGAGGCCATGATACATCTTTATGGAAACACTACACTATTTGCATATCTGTATAGTAAGACTTCTCATAAACAAGTATAATGCCAATGGGGGAAATTTAGTGAAAGAATGGGGAGGGAAGATTAAAAAATAAAGCAGAGAGAAATGCTAAATCAAGCTGAAAATCTGGAGGCACTGATTTTAATCCACAGATAATAGGATCACTGGCCTCAGGCTAGAATAACTTATTTCTACAAAAATATAACAAGTTTTTCACACTGAAGGAAAGATATAACATATTTTTTAAAACATCATAGGGGGAGTTTTCTGAGACAGCCCTATCAATAATTGATGCCTTGATTCTATTTAGTGTCCAAGCATATCTATTTTTCACCTCCTCATTTAATTAAAAAGGCTTTACGTAACAGGTGGAGAAGGGAGATTTCCTTATTTTAGCAATTACGAATATATCAAGAAAATATAAATCACAATATTCAGCTGAACCCTAATTATTCAGAGATAGCTTACCATTTCTGAGTTATTTGTGCTTCTTTAAAGAATCTTTCTTGTCATTTGATTGTCAAAACAGCATGTGTTTTTAAATCTAACAACAGTAGGCAATATTACTCATTAGTTTACAGATGAGAAAAAATGAGCCCTAGATTGGCTGAGTCTTGTCAAGGATCTCAAGGCTGGTGGGTAGCAGAAATAAGACTTGAAATCTAGCCTGCTGTTTCCAGTCCACTGGGTGCTCAGGGAGGTGTTGTAGGAGAGCCTTGGGAAAAGGTAGGGAAATCATCCAGAAAAAAAACAAAGAGGAATAAATTTCTCTATGAAAAGACAGTAAGTGTATGCATCATAGCCAAAGGTGAACTGACCCTAGAATTCATTTCTGGAAAAAGGACAGAATGTAGGGAATCAGAGCAAAACACACAGAGAACTTCAGTAACCTGAAGAGCTTAGAAAAAACACAACTCAGATCAAGCGTTAAAAGAGAGTGGAAATGAGGTACAGAGAGGTTTCTCAGCTACTCAGAAAGAGCAATATGGACAAGAGGGTGAATGGATACATATCATTAGAAAAAAAATACTCAGAGATATAAAAGGTTCCAAATCAGAATAAACTAATGAGAGTTGTCGCCGTACATTCTTTCTGCACATAGTATGCCAAGATACCTGTGCAGCTATGGCAGATTTTATGCCTTTGAGCTAGTTGTTTCAGGCATGTAGTAAATCAATTCCTTGCTACAGAGAAGAGATAAAGTGGATTTAAAAAATAGCAGAGAAAGAAAAATCTATCTTCCTAATTCTGTCAACTCAAAATTGTAGAACGCCAATTTTGAAATGCTCTTTAAATATAATTTTAATAAATGTCCTTGACATTTATGTCCATGGTTCATTTTCCATTTTTCTATATATGCTCTTTTGGGGTCAATGTTCAGAAAGAAATAAATGTTTCCTTTCATCATTAATGCATATTCTTTATGTTGTTGAGTAAGAGAATAAAGTTTTCTGAATTAATCACATGCCATGGAAGATATGTCAGATAGTCATATCTAAATACTTATCCTTATTCCCAAACCAGGTTCTACTTTCTCCATAAACTTTGGATATTCCTTCCTATCTTCATTCATTAATTCACTCAATAATTAATTTATTGGGCACACAATATATATGGCAGGAACTATGACATAGGATAAGGTGGTGAATAAGACAATCTTGATGCATGTTTTCATGGAGCTCAACCTGGGGGGAAAGATACATTTTTCCAAACTTTCCCCACCTAGATCACATTGCTTTCTCTTTCTCTAAACTGTGTTACTTGGCAGCTGATATTGCAAAGTTTAGGACTTACTATGCTCTAATGATTTGTTTGTATTATACTCCTCCCAACTAAATTATGTAAACCAACATAGAGCAGTTAACATATAGTTCTTATTTTAAGTTCCCATGATACCAATCACAGTGCTAATCATAGAAAAAACTCCTGATAATATTTGTTGATAAGTTGATGGACATGTGAATTATTAAGTATTGAATATTCTAATAGGGACCTCTATAAAAAATATTAACTCTTTATTGTAAAATTCTTTAAAACAAAAAGCAGTATTTAAGTAGCTCTTTAAAGGTATGAATTTTCCAATTTGCTAGGGAAGAATGATTTATATTACATGCAACAGTTTGGAAGCATGAAATGGCATAAAATATAATTTAATCATAAAATAAATATTTAGTGGCTACTCTGTTCCAGGAGTATTCCATGTGCTTATTTATATTGACTTATCTACTCCTCACAACTACTCTCTAAGGTAGTATTATAAATATTCCAATTTCACAAATTAGAAATTTGAAACAGAGAGAGCTTAAGTAATTTACCAAAAGTCACAAAGCTACTAAGTGGCGTAGAAAGATTTTAAACTCAGCAATCCAGTTCCAGAGCCCATGTCCTCATGCAACCTACTATACCACATCTCAGAGTAAAACTTTTTTGGACTTGATTATGTTACAAATAATAAAATATGAGAATAGAAGATAAGTTGGAGTCAGAAAGAATCAATTATAATGTACTAAGTATTATGAAAGTCATTTTTCAAAAGGACCAAGATGTGTTGAATTGTTTTTTTAAGGCAACACTTTTGCAAGACTATATAGAAAGAACTGAAGATCTAAGGTGTGAGGAGAGAATTTAAAAACAGGAAGGTAGCATAAGACTTAAAAAGAATAAACTCTGGAATCAGTCTGATGCAGGCTCAAATCTTGACTGACTAATCATTAGTGCTGGTTACTGAAATTTCCAGTTCTCTTTCTTCTAGCCATACCTTTGAATCCCTATTAAGTTAAGCAAGCCCAGGTGTCTCGATTTAACCAAAGAAATGTGAACACAAGTTATATGTATTTTTTATGGGTGGAAGACAAAATATTTCATAGTTTGCTATTTCCCCTATCACTGTGGGGAGAAGTTCACCTTCAAGGTTTTCATTCTCAGAGATTTTGATGTTTGCTGCTGTAGCATAAACTAGTCTATCCCGAGAGGCACACAGGCTTTAGCACTTAATAGTTTTATCTTAAATTATTTAACAACTCTGAGCCTTTCTTTATTTCCTCATATATAAATAATGGGGTAATGATGATATATGATTTTTAATTTTTTGTTGCTCTTTTATTTTGTTTGGCATATTTTTTTCTTAAAGTCTAGCACATAGCTGTTACTCAGCAGATGCTAATTCATAAGGACTGAGATAAATAAATAGCAGAAACACAAGGAACAGATTCTAAAGACAGTCTGAGGCAAAATAAACAGAACTTGAGTCCAATTTGGTATAAAGAATAGAACAAAAAAAGTAGCTAGAGACGATCCCAAGTTTCCAGTTTACAGACAATATGATGGACTGCCACATTATTAACTAAAATAAGACATAAAGGAGGTCAAGTTGAGAGATGATGTCCTCCAAGCCAGGTATATGTATTCAAGTCAGATATTACGAAGTAAAGACAAGGAACTCAAGTGCGCGTATAAAATATAGAGGAGTTTTAACATTTTTTTCCTACATGAAGATGCCTAAAATGTTGACTGGTTTTTTGCAGACCACCTGAAATTTAATTGACTGTCAGTATAAATATTCCAGGCACAATACAGAGAAAAATAATTCAATAGGTGAATTTATTCTGTTACAATTTTTGGCTTCCTTTTCAGTGTTTTCCCCCTTGGAATCTTTTTTGGAGTCACACATAACTGACAGTAAGTATAAGAAACAGAATTCTAACCCTGTTTAATAAACTGAATTCATGTGTTACTGAACTCCCTGAGCCTCGTGTTCCTTAACTAGGAAAAAAAAAATGAAATGATGCCATGTAACTGATAGAGTTGCTCAAAGTTTAACTGTGATGGTATGTGTGAAATACAGAATCACACAGCAGAAACTCTGTAAATATGTTTCCTTTTTCCTTCCTTGTATTAATCTTAGTTATTCCCTTTCTAGAGAAAGTTTTCCAGGTGACTTTCATAAAATTCTTTGTATTTTATTCCTTCCCAAGATCTTATTGCTGGAAAAGGAATCTATATTTTACTATAAGATTATTTAAAAAATAATTTTTATAAACTCAATTCTATAATTCCATGTTTATCTCCCTTTTATTTTCTTAAAATGTTTGATCTGGCATGATTTAGCTCAAAACAAAGATGTGCAAGCAATAAGAAAAGAACCAATTTCTAAAATTTATTTTTGCTATAAGTGGATTCAGCTACAATATTCTCATTAATATATTGGTCAGATGTGATACTGAGCCAGTCAAATGTTATCACTGCTTGCAGAGAGTTTAACCCACTGAGAGTAAGGATTAAGAGCCATAGCATGAAGTAAAGTTGGCACAAGAAACATCTCATTTTCACAGAATCATGGAATAAATTTACCTACAGAATGTGCAGTAAAGTAATCCTACAACAGTTAAAATTCCTTTTAAGGCCGGGCGCAGTGGCTCACGCCTGTAATCCCAGTACTTTGGGAAGCCGAGGAGGGCGGATCACAAGGTCAGGAGATAGAGACTATCCTGGCTAACACGGTGAAACCCCGTTTCTACTAAAAATACAAAAACATTAGCCGGGCTTGGTGGCGGGTGCCTGTAGTCCCAGCTACTTGGAAGGCTGAGGCAGGAGAATGGTGTGAACCCGGCAGGCGGAGGTTGCAGTGAGCCCAGATCGCACCACTGCACTCCAGCCTGGGCGACAGAGCGAGACTTCATCTCAAAAAACAAACAAACAAACAAACAAACAAACAAGCAAAACCTTTTAAAATGGACTTTCTGCTGAAAATCTAGAAAATAGTTTAATAAATATGGATACTTTCATAAACATTGTAAGATATAGGCAAGTAGGGGATATCTTATAATTATTTTAATGTTTTAGATCAGCCATTCGAATAGTTTTTATAAGTCTACTCTAAATTCCAAAATTAGAAACAACTCATTTAAGAAGAAAACCAAAAGCCAAACTTGATATTATAGGACGGTACAGTTTCTATCAAAAATGCTATTATGATGGATTACAAGAAGTACTTTCTTTTAGGGGAAGAGAAAGGTAATGTAAACATAGTTTTAATCCAACTTTATGATTAGATAATCCAGATTGATTGTAAGCATTACTAACTGAGTAAAAAGAGTATGTGCAATTTCCAGTTAATTTTATTATTTTATAATGGACAAAATACATTATGCAAGATTATCTAAGTGTTGGTGTTGAGGAATGTGATGTTTAAATACATTATGTAACTTGGAGTAAAATGTAAATCAATACATTTATAAAATAGTATAGGTGTTTTCTTAATGATATCTTACTTCTGAACCTCTAAATTTTTCTAGTGTTTCAATAATTTCAAAACCAAGGGACTTGGTTTTGAAAAGGAATATTTTCCTCTCTCATCCATGATGGAGTAACTGGCACTGAACATGTCCTCCTTCCATAAACAAATTTAAAACTAGGAAAAATATATGAGGCAATGGAGACTGACACTAAACAACAGGCTATAATCCTTTGGAGAAGAAAAGCATATAATGTGAGTTCTGCATTCTCTTCAGCTTCATATCTCAGGGCAATTGCTGAACTTCTATCAGTGAAGAGAGGTAGCCAAAACTGGGTATGACAGCTGCACTGAGCTGATGATGTTGTGGTCTGATCTCTCTGAGATCAGCTTTGAGCTACACAAGTGCTAGGACTTTTGATGTACGGTACTGGAGAGGTGGGACCCGAGGAAAATAGGAACACCTGAAATCTATGTGAGGTTTCCTCAGTGATTATTTGGGCCTGACAGAGGATGGCTCTTGTAGGACTCAAATCTAAATAGAAATGACAGATCAAGCAGAGATCAAGCAGTGCTGAGATGCTGGAGTTCCGGTACAACCAAAAAAGAGTCCTCAGTGATTACCTTATATGCTCAGGTTAGTCTCCCATAAAGACCATACCTTAAGAGAAAGGAGTATGACCTAGAGCAAAGACCATAGCCTAGAACTAAATTGAAATCTACCCGTCTACAAAGAATGAAACCAAGAGTCTGCTAGTAAATCAACTTCTGCCAGGGAAAAATTCAGCATCTTTCAAAGAAGGCAACATGAGACAGAGTCTACACAATATATCATCCATAAGGTGCGTCATATAAAAGAGGTTAAAAAATCCTGATAATTAAGGAGGAAAACAGTAAATAAAAAGAAATTTCAACATGACCAAGATGTTGAAATTAGCAGACAAGTATTTTAAAACATCATGTGTAAAGTAAAGGAAAAATCAGCAGAGTGAAGAGGCAAACTATGGAATGAAGAAAATTTGCAATTTATATATTGCAATGTATATATTTGATAAGGCCTCAGTATCCCGAATATATAAGAAACTCAAACAGCTCAACTGTAAGAAAATAAATAATCCAATTTAAAAATATACAAAGAACATGAATAGACTTTCAAAAGAATACATACAAAGGACCAACAAGTATATGAAAAAATGCTCAACATCGTTAATCATAAGGGAAATGCAAATTACAATTACAATGAAATATCACCTCACATCTGATAGAAAGGCTATTATCAAATGATGAAAGATAATTGTCGGTGAAGATGTAGAAAAAATTAAATCCTTGTTCACTGTTGGTGGCAATGTAAATTAGAACAGCCATGTTGATAAACAGTCTGGAGATTCCTCAAAATATTAAAAATAAAACCACCATCCAGCAATCTTACTACTTGGTATATATCTAAAGGAACTGAAATAAATATACTGAAGAAATATCTGCCCTCCCATGTTCATTGCTGTATTATTCACAGTAGCCAAGATATGGAGTCAACCTAAGTGTCCATCAGTGTATGAATGCAAAAGAAAAGGTGCTATATATACACAATGGAATAATATTCATCCTTCGCAAAGAAAGAAATTCTGTCACTTGTGATAACATGGATGAGCCTGGAGGACATTATGTTAAGTGAAAAAAGCCAGGCACAGGAAGACAAATACCACATGATCTTATTATATGTGGAAACTAAAAAGGTCACACTCATAGAAGCACTGGGTTGAAAGCATACACTCGCTTAGTTGGGGAAGATTCTGCCACACCTGGAGTACCAAATCACATTCAAAATGAATTTCCTAAGGAAACAATATTATAAATCATGGTTCAGTATGCCTGAAAGTCTAAATCTTCTTAAGTATCTATTTTACTACTTGTTTCAACATTTGTTAAGTGCTATTCATGTATAAAAAATTAAATCAGAAGATATTTAAGACACAGTCTTTGACTTGAAGGGCTTTCATAAATTAAATCTGTATAGGTTGTCTCACCTGCTAGACTGTGTTCATCCTTCCACCTTTACCATAACAAACCATGGGAACATTTAATGTTGCATTTGAAAATATATTACCACTATTTCTAGTAAGTAAAAATCTCCTGGGAATAGTAAGACCTGGAATTTGTTATTTCTTTTGAGATTTGATCATCTCAACAAAATCTTTACTGTTATCATGAAGTTCTATATTGATTAAACATGAAGACCTTTAGTTTTTTTGTGTGTGTGGCTATGCCATCCTTCTGAAATTTGAAAGATAGTATTCAAAAGAGAAAAAGCGAAGTAGAGTGATCAAGTCCAAGAGTCAAGCATTAAAAAAAAGTATTTCTTATGTTAGCCACTACCAAACATGTTTTTATGTGATATGTGAGGGAATTACAAAAAATACAACACAATTTTGTCTTTCAGGGAATGTATAAGTGGATATAAACCTGACACATGTGACAATATAATTAGCTATCAATGCTGAATGTGCTAAATCAGATGGATGACGCATTTTTGTTATAAGTATTTAAGAATGAAGAGATTATATAATTGAGTTCCTTACTATCATATTGAGTGCTATGTTTCATGCAGTGCATTAAGCTCTGTTTACCTCACAGGACAATGTTTTGGAGTGATTTCCTCATAGTAATAAGATGCTTTCCTGGAAGTTTGCCCAATGTTTCTCTAAGCTTGGTCAATGTCTCCCTAAGCCCCAAATATCCTTTTTTAGATAGAAATTATCTTAATTTTGTAATTAAGGAAGTTAAATATCAGAGGTGTTAGAATATCTATATAAGTTTATAAAGATGTTAAGTGAAAGAAATAGGATATGAAATCAAACTTGACTCCTTCCAAAGCTCCTCTTCTTTTCATTTGGCTACCTTATCCCTGTTCTTTCTACATTTCTATGGTATTTTAAATAAAGTAATAGCAAAACCAAGGCTATTGAAATAACTGCACAGAAATTGTCACTTTTAATGTTGATCTTCCCAACAATCCTGAGAATGTCAGTTTTTTTTTTTTATAATCAGTACATTTATAGCCCATAATGCAGTGATAATTTATTTTGGTTATTAGATTGTCTTATAATTATTTGCTAAGATGTCTGTTGCCATACTGTGAGTTCTATGACTCACTCGTTGTATCTGTAGGTCTAGCATAACACTAGTCCCATAATAGGCACTCTGTAAATTATATCGCCTTGACTCTCTCTGAACCTATTTTTTTCACCTCCCTGATAATATAAAGTAATAGAGAAAATGTATGATATATATGTGTGTGTATAAATATATATGTATACATATGTATACATATATATGTGTATACATATATATTTGTTTTAAAAGTACCAGGTAGATTGCAGGTATTGTAATATATATAAATGGCTTTGAAATTGTATCATTATTCAAAGGTAATGTATATTATTATTCATAGTAAATTTATATTAAAGGCCACCACACCATTTTGTTTATAGAAGCTCTATTGAGAAAATTTACACACCATGAAATTCACCTTTTGATTCTTATTGCAAAGCATCTGAGGGGTAAGAATATTACCTGAGCAGTTGTTATGTATTATCTCAGTTGATTCTTGTAGCATTACAAAGAATATGCAAAGTAATTTTCATTCCTATCTTAAAGGTAAAGAGACTAAGTTTTTTTTGTTTGTTTGTGTTTCTTTTTTTTTTTTGTTTTGTTTTTTTTTTTGAGATGGAGCCTCACTCTGTCACCCAGGCTGGAGTGCAGTGGCGCGATCTGGGCTCATTGCAAGCTCTGCCTCCTGGGTTCACTACATTCTCCTGCCTCAGTCTCCCAAGTAGCTGGGACTACAGGCGCCCGCCACCACGCCCGGCTAATTTTTTGTATTTTTAGTAGAGACAGGGTTTCACCGTGTTAGCCAGGATGGTCTCAATCTCCTGACCTTGTGATCCACCTGCCTCGGCCTCCCAAAGTGCTGGGATTACAGGTGTGAGCCACCACGCCTGGCCGAGACTAAGTTTTATATAAGTTAAGTAACTAGCACAGCCATTTAGTAAATAACACGGTTTGAATTGGACTTCAATTTTTCTTGATTCCAATCCACTCCTATAGAAGTTGCCTATATTGAGAGGGGAGTCCTCCTAAATAAATTTCATAGGAGCTAGACGTTTAGACTCCTTTTTTGTACATCTAAGATCCCAAATCCCAAGGACCTTTTCTGTGAAAATATTCCTTCAAATTTTCTCCAGAGACAAAGGGAATCAAAGTAATATCTGTGCTGAACTTTGATGCAGACATGATGTTTGGAAGCTTCCAGACTGAGTTTGGGGTTGATGAAAGGAAGCAGATAATAGTAGGTAACAAGAGGTGTTGGTGACATGAATGCTACATATCCACACTTGAGACCTGCTCACTGAAGAAGGCTTAGTTATCACATTGTGAAGTAATTACAACAAATAAAAGAATTGTATAGTCTATTAATAAACCAAGCACCATCAAATGTAGCCCAAACTTAAAAGGATTCCTGAATCATTTACAGCCTGGTCCCAGTGGGAAGCAGAATGACCACTTTTAATCTGTTAGAAAAGGTAGTGTTCTGGTAATGTTGTCTTTTTAAAGATAACCTACTTTGGTACAGGTATGAAAGAAGGAAATCAAAAGCATAAAAGGTCAAAGAAGACAGTGATTTGACTATTTTGTCTAACTCTGTATTTTCATCTCCAAGAACATAGTAGGCACTTACAATGTTATTTGTTGAATGAATGAATGTATGCCAACTGACATAGAAGGAAAATGCTTGTACACGGCAAGTGACTGTTTTATGGTGCTCATGTATTTTGAGTTGTGTGACTTTTTAGGTTGACCAATTACAGGCTTCAAGAGATTTTTCCAGCATCAATTGCATGAAATATCTTAGTGAATTTTCATTAACGCAGTCTCAGATATGTCAAATTAGTAAATAAGATGAGGTCACTGTTCTCAAGTTTATGAATGTCAACCACCAAATCACTCCAGTGAAGTAATTTTGCAACGCACAAATGGAATGATCCATCTATGAACAAGGCTGGCTGCGCCTCCGTGGTAAACTTGGCTGAGACCAAGGATTATGGACCAGGAGATCATACGCTCATACCCAAGAGACCAACTTTGTTCCAAATACTTGTCATGTTCTTGCCCTGATAAATGTCACTTTCCAGAGCATAGAAAGTTAGTGATTTTCAGTTTCGACCACTCAGAGGAATTTTATGTCCTTCACAATATGAGGAGGGGGAGTTCAATTCATACATTAAGTTATTATCTTAGGTACCACACTAAGCAAGGGAGACTTAGCACATCTTAGTAATTTACAACCTGAAAATCACATCTCACACAAGATGTGTCCCTCTAGGCTGTCTGAGAACACCTAAGATTCTGTCCAATGGAATTGCCTCGGGTTGGCGTTATCAAGCTCACAAGCCTCAAAATCATTGCCCTAGGGAGTCACAAAACTGAGACTAGCTGTTCTGGGAAAAAATTGCTAGTTTTAATTATTTTGCTATTTTTGAGATACATTTCTTGCAAATCACTCAAACTATTTCTAAAACTGAAATATTTCTACCAACTGATACAGTACGACTAAAGCAATAGACACTTTGTGTTAAAAAATCATCAAATAACACCAAAGAATTGATAATTTGGGACCATGTTCTTCATACTATAGGGTGACTGCAAGGTGCTGGGTAGTTTCTCTGTTTTTCTCCCTTAATTCTTACTCATGTCTACATTTCCATACCAGGAATTTATAGATTTACCTTGAGGCTTTGATCTTTGTTAGAATACAAATTCTCCAGGGTTAGTTATATTAATAATTCATGTGGTTCACTTACTCTTTGTTAGACTTGCAGAAGGAAGACTGGCAAGGAGGCAAGGGAAATAGTTGAGGCTATAAGTACTGGAGACATCATTCATCCTTAAACTGAGACATGTGCCCAGTAGTCTCACAGGGTTCATTTTAAGTTCATCTTTAACAACATATATTGGGCATCTACTGATTAAATGACACTATCTAAGCACTAGTAAGACACTTTATTATATTAGCCTTCAAGAAAAATATGTTCAAATTAGGGAGAACCCAGTTTAATATGTGAGAATAAATTCATGTACCAAATGAATTTCTATTTGTATTTACTCCTCTTTAACTTAAATCTTTAAACATAGTCTGAAGCAAAATATTATTTTAGAATTGGTTAAATCCATAAAATTTCTAGAATTTATATGCAACTATTGGAGTTAATCACTAAAGAAACGTAAGTACAAGTTAACATTAGAAACTATATTCTAATGTTTGAGTCTGTAAAATAATCAACCCATATTATTTTTCCAAATATCCTTCTTATTCTTAACTATCAAGAAAAAGTCATTTATTATTTTTAAATAAAGACATAAGTCATATTATAAACAACAGACGAAAATGCACTAAATTAGGTATGTTCAGTTTCTAACCCTGACATATATGTCTATGAAACTGTGTAACATTCCGTAGGTTATTTAGAATCCCTGATCTCTCTTTTATTGCTATAAGTTATCAGGAGGAGATGATTTTAAGGTATCATCTGGGTCTAAGTTTATTTAATAACATTATATTCTATAAAGTTTAAGTTTCGGCTAGGCTGGTTCCCTTGTTAATTATTTTAAATGGATTAAGAATGACAGACTACTGTAAGGAGTACAGGAAAATCCAGGGACCTTTATGTTTAACACTCATTATAGCTTTGTGTAGTGAGTTAGTCACTGAGCTTTGAGAGAGGAAGATGCAAAGTAAGTGAGTGTTTATTATAAGGAAAGTGAGTTTTAACATAAGAGTTAGATTTTAGGAAATACTTATTTTATACAGTCATGCATCACTTAACAATGGGGATATGTTCTGAGACATATGTAGTTAGGAAATCATATGAACATCATAGAGTGTACTTACACAAACCTACATGGTATAACCTCTCACACATCTAGACTATTTGCTATAGCCTAATGCTCCTAGGCTACAAACCTGTGCAACATATTACTGTACTGAATACTGGAGGCGATTGTAAAACAATGGTAAGTGTTTGTGTATCTAAACATAGAAAAGGGACAGTAAAAATACAGTATAAAAGATAAAATACAATACAACTGTAGAGGGCACTTGCCATGAATGGATATTGCAGGACTGGAAGTTGCTCCAGATGAATCAGTGAGTAAGTGGTGAGTAAATGCGAAGGCCTAGGACATTACTGTACACTACTGTCGACTTTATAAACACTGCACATTTAGGATACACTAAATTTATACAAATATTTTTATTTCTCCAATAATAAATTAACCTCAGTTGAATGTAACATTTTTATTTTAAAAACTTTTTAATACTTTTTATGTTTTGACTCTTTTGTAGTAACACTTGTCTTAAAACACAAACATATCGTACAGCTGTACAAAAATATTTTCTTTATATCCTTATTCTATGACCTTTATTTATTTATAGTTTTATTATTATTTTATTTTAAAGCCTTTTGTTAAAAATTAAGACCCATTTTTTTTCCAAGATGGCAGATTGGAGACATTGCTAGCATGCCTCTTCCACTTGGAAAGACAAAATAGTGTGTAGAGAATCACACTGAACTTTTTCCCAAGAAGCAACACAGGAACTTAAAAAAACTAAAAGAAATCATAGACCCTTTGAAAGAAACATCAGGCTGCAGCCTACACTGTGAGCTAGGTGAAAACTGTTAAGTGCCTCTAGTGTGAGAGGGGGATAAAGTGACTTTGGGATATACTCTCCGACTGGGGAACCTGGCAATACAGGCCACTGGGAAAGGCCCTAATCCTACCCAGCGCTGGAGGTGAGTTAATGAGCAGTGGGGAGTATATAAAAATGAATGGCTCTGAGATGGACTTTGTGTGAGCTCCCAGTTTCCAGTGGGGATGTAGGGAACCCATACCTGATCCTACTTTACAGGAGACTTCATGCAAGTCTGCTAGCTAACTCAGGCAGCAAAGGTTGAGAGAAGCTCCCAACTGAGATTTATGATATAATCTCAAATGGGAATAAAAGACCTTGGCAAAAACCGTGGGGCGAGTGGAGATTGTGCTGCAGCCGCAGGCATGAGAGCTAGACACGCATGCTTCACAGGCAGACTTGGAGAACGTGGACTGAAAGCCTTGGTTTCTGTCTCTGCAGGGAAGGCTTGTGGCCTGGGGTGGTTCTGAGTTCTGAGCACACTGCCTGGAACCTAGTTAGTTGCTGCTAGTGGGACACCGCAGGTGTGAGGTCGCTTTGCCAAATGTGTGGGAGCTGGGTGGGGCTTACTGCTGCCTGCTGTTCCCCACTCCTCATGTGGTCTCTTCGGTATGGCAGAGGCAGATGTGCTCCTCCCTGGAACACTACCCCAGTGGCCAGAGAACTGCCCTCTGATTCTCACTGGAGTTGTTGCTTGTGCCCACATATGTGGAGCCAGTGTGGACTTGCCTGACCCAGCCCCCACCCAGATTTGCCCCTCCATCCACTCTGGTGACTTAACACTAAGGACAGAAACTCTTGGGAGTTCCATGGCCCTGCCCATTGCCTGAGATGCAAAAGTACCTCTCCTGGGTCACATAAGGCAAACACAAATCTTACTAATACCACCATGGCTGTTGTTTTTTTTTGCAAGTTCCACCTCCTGACAGGAGTCCAAACAACACAGTCCATTACACCATCTGCAGGCACAATAATACAGTGCTTGGAAAAGAGAAAACTTGTGTGTGGCCTCAGCTATCACCATTGCTTACATCATTCTGGCTAACCAGGAGGTCCTGAACCTGTCCGCAAGACAATTTTATTACCACTACAACTAGCATTTGAGAAAGTCAACACACTAAGGCTATTTATAACCAAGGAATCTCACAAGGTATATGCCAATGTCACTCCCCTGCCAATACCATCAGAGCTGGTGTTGGTAACCACTGCTGGGAGATTTGAGGACAGGTCACATCACAGAACCCCTTGCAGACATTCCCTAGCACCAGCCTGGAGTGAGGCACCCCCACCGAGTGGCTAGACCTAGAGGAGCAGCAGCACTCACAGTAATCTGGCCCTTGAGATAAGTTTCAAGAGACCTCTGTCATTCCAACTGCACAGAAGACAATGAACCTGATCATACACCAAGCACATTGCTACTACAACTAGCTTAAAGCCATCATACAAAGAATCTATAACTAGGTTACTCATACAGAAGCTTCACCCCTGAAGGCACACAGAGCTGTATTAGTTTACAAGAAATTTAAAAAATTAAAGTTACATCCTCAAGAGGAAGAAAAAGAAAATTTAAAAACACTGTTGAATTCAAAAATAATTCAAAAATAATTAGAAGAAATAGTCTACCCCAAAGAGAAGGAACTAGAAAAAATATTCTAGCAGGAGGACAAACAGGGTTCACTAGCTCACCAGCAATGAATCCAAACCAAGATGAAATATTTGAAATACAGATAAAGGATCCAAAATGTTGATTATTAAGCTACTTAAGGAAGTATAAGAGAAAGGTGAAAACCAACATAAAGATTTTTTTTAATTTAGTATCTAATGAGAAATTTTCTAAAGAAATAGATCTTTTAAAGAAAAAACAATCAGAACTTCTGGAAATGAAAGGTGCACTTAGGGAATTACTAAATGCTGTGGGAAGTTGTAACAAAAGAATAGACCAAGTAGAAGAAAGAATTTCAGAGGTTGAAAACAAGGCTTTTGAATTAACCCAATCAAACAAAATTAAAAAAATAAAAGGCAACGAACAAAGCCTCCAAGAAATATGGGATTATGCATAATGGCCAAACTTAAGAATCTTTGCTGTACCTGAGGGAGAATAAAAAAATAAAAGTTTGGAAAACTTGTTTGAGGGAATAATTCAGGAAAACTTTCCAAGCCTGACTGGACATTTAGACAGTCAAATACAAGAAGCTCAGAAGGTAGATTTACCTTAAATGGGGAAGCAAAAAATATTTTAAACTTTTTTTCTAAATATCAAATTATTTTCCATATAATTTTTATATAAAATATCCAGTGTAGGATTCTCCAAATATCTACAACTGAAGTTGGAACATTCTTAGTTAATCAGTGTTTGTTAATACGTGATAAAATATACTATACTTCCTTTCACTGTACTATGGAAGATATTTTTTAAAAATCATATATAATTCTGGGTGCTGAGTTCTAGGGGAGATATAGCCAATCTGAGATATATTCAAACATGTTAATACTACAAGAAATTAAGTCTTAATTTTCTGAGCATCTCTTTGGGGGAAATGAACAAGTTTAAATTGCAGAAAAAGGAGAGCAAAACATTATTATTAAATACACGGACTGGATAACAATACAGTTAGCTTCAAAAACTTAGGGATGTACTTGTGGGAAGAAATACTTTATTTTTGTGGTCTTGTGGGCTAAAATTAGAGTGGAAGTATAAATCTTATAACTGGCAATATTTTAACTCTACATTAAAGACTTTCTTAAGGTATTTTGAAAAGCTAGAAGGAGCTATCTCAGTAAGAATTAACTTTCCCTTTAGCATAAATAGCTTAATCGAAAATTTGGTAGGTATCTTGTAGAGGAGGTTAAAGCACAGGGTGATTTTTCAGTTGCAGATAATCCATAACTGAATTGATACTGAATTCAAATAGTAGGGCCCTTGTCTTCCAGTAGCTTACATGTGTTAAGAGGTTTACATATCAATGAAAATGATGTGCCAAATGACATCTCGAGGCTATATTCATTGCAAGGTTCTCATTAAATGAATCACAGAAATTATAACCATGCTAAAGGATAAACTTGACATGAAAAGAAGCTTGTTTTAATTTTTTAGGATTACTGGTAGGATAGTATTAACAGTATATCCTGAGTGAGGTGCTCCTGAGAGTTCCTCCCTCTTTCCTGGTCTATTGATTTTCTACAGATGCTATAACAAATTACTACGAACTTGGTGTTACAAATTACCACAAGTAACAGTTATGTATTCTCACGGTTCTTAAAGACAGAAGTCTCATATCAAGGAGTCAGTAGGGCCAGCCTTTCTATGAAGGCTGCAGAGTGAAGTTCTTCCTTACTTCTTCTTAGCATCCAGTGTTTCCAGGCAATTCTTGATAGTTTATTGGCTTGTATCTTTATCATCCCAATCTTTGCCTCCATCATCACAAGACTTTCTTCTCTGTGACTATACTGCCAAATCTCCTTCTTTTTAGGCCCACTCTAAATCTAGAATGATTTCGTCTCAGAATTCCCAACTAATGACATCGGCAAAGACCCCGTTTCTAACTAATGTTACATTCTGAGATTCCAGGTGGACCTGATTTTTTGGGGCATGCTACTCCTAGGGACCTCGACAAACCACTGAGAGGGAAGTGGGTCTGTGATTACATTGTATTTTTATACTCATAATTCTGGTCTTAAGATTTTTGTAATATTGATTGAGGTGGTCGAACCCCCTCAAGGCCATCAAAGAAGACTGAGGTGACAAATGAATTGAGCCAAAATTTCAATCACACAGTACTACATTGATGTAGTGAATGCTGTCTTCAGAAGTCCTTTTGTGTCCGGAATTGGTGGGTTCTTGGTCTCACTGACTTGAAGAACGAAGCCATGGATGCTCGTGGTAAGTGTTACAGTTCTTGAAGGCAGTGTGTCCGGAGTTGTTCCTTCTGATGTTTGGATGTGTTTGGAATTTCTTCCTTCTGTTGGTTTCGTGGTCTCACTGGCTCAGAAGGGAAGCTGCAGACCTTTGCAGTGAGTGTTACAGCTCTTAAGGTGGCGTGTCTGGAGTTGTTCATTCCTCCTGGTGCGTTCGTGCTCTCGCTGGCTTCAGGAGTGAAGCTGCAGACCTTCGTGGTGAGTGTTACAGCTCATAAAGGCAGTGTGGACCCAGAGTGAGCAGCAGCAAGATTTATTGCAAAAAGTGAAAGAACAAAGCTTCCACAGCGTGGAAGGGGATCCCAGTGGGTTGCCACTGCTGGCTGGGACAGCCTGCTTTTATTCTCTTATCTGGCCCCACCCACATCCTGCTGATTGGTCCATTTTACAGAGAGCCGATTGGTCTGTTTTACAGAGAGCTGATTGGTCCGTTTTGACAGGGTGCTGATTTGTGCATTTCCAATCCCTGAGCTAGACACAAAAGTTCTCCACGTCCCCACTAGATTAGCTAGATACAGAGTGTCAATTGGTGCATTCACAAACCCTGAGCTAGACACAGGGTGCTGATTGGTGTGTTTACAAACCTTGAGCTAGATACAGAGTGCTGATTGGTGTATTTACAATCCCTTAGCTAGACATAAAGATTCTCCAAGTCCCCACCAGACTCAGGAGCCCAGCTGGCTTCACCCAGTGGATCCCACACAGGGCCGCAGGTGGAGCTGCCTGCCAGTCCCGAGCCGTGCGCCTGCACTCCTCAGCCCTTGGGTGGTCGATGAGACTGGGTGCCATGGAACAGGGGACAGTGCTCATCAGGGAGGCTCGGGCCATGCAGGAGCCCATGGTGGTGGGGTGGGGGAGCCTGAGGCATGGCGGGCTGCAGGTCCCAAGCCCTGCCCCGCTAGGAGGCAGCTAAGGTCCGGCGAGAAGTTGAGCACTGCAGCTGCTAGCCCAGGTGCTAAGCCCCTCACTGCCCGGGGCCAGCGGGGCTGGTGGGCCACTCCGAGTGCGGGGCCCGCAATTGCGGCCAGAGTGGGTGCCAAGGCCGAGGAGGCACCAAAGCTTTATAATATAAACCAGGCTTAAGAGTTTATTGAAAGACCAAAAAAAAAAGAAAAAGAAAACCCTTAAGAAAATGTTCAACTGTTATCGCTGCTTCAGATTTGGGTGTTGGCTTATATTCCATAGCCAATATTTATAGGACTTTCGGTAACTTCTTGTACCTAATTGCAGAAATAACAGATGTGTGTCAAAGTGAGAGGTGACAGCATGCTGGCAGCCCTCGCAGCCCTCGCTCGCTCTCGGTGCCTCCTTGCCCTTGGCACCCACCCTGCCCGCGATTGCAGGCCCCACACTCGGAGCCGCCAGCTGGCCCTGCCGGCCCTGGGCAGTGAGGGGCTTAGCACCTGGGCCAGCAGTTGCTGTGCTCCACTTCTCGCCGGGCCTTAGCTGCCTCCCCACGGGGCAGGGCTTGGGACCTGCAGCCCGCCATGCCTCAGCCTCCCCAACCCCACCACCGTGGGCTCCTGTGTGGCCCGAATCTCCCCAATGAGCACCACCTCCGCTCCACGGCGCCCAGTCCCATCGACCACCCAAGGGCTGAGGAGTGCAGGCACACAGTGTGGGACTGGCAGGCAGCTCCACCTGCGGCCCTGTGCGGGATCCACTGGGTGAAGCCAGCTGGGCTCCTGAGTCTGGTGGGGACTTGGAGAATCTTTATGTCTAGCTAAGGGATTGTAAATACGCCAATCAGCACTCTGTATCTAGCTCAAGGTTTGTAAACACACCAATCAGCACCCTGTGTCTAGCTCAGGGTTTGTGAATGCACCAATTGACACTCTGTATCTAGCTAAACTAGTGGGGACGTGGAGAACTTTTGTGTCTAGCTCAGGGATTGTAAACGCACAAATCAGCACCCTGTTAAAACGGACCAATCAGCTCTCTGTAAAACAGACCAATCAGCTCTCTGTAAAATGGACCAATCAGCAGGATGTGGGTTGGGCCAGATAAGAGAATAAAAGGAGGCTGCCTGAGCCTGCAGTGGCAACCCGCTTGGGTCCCCTTCCACACTGTGGAAGCTTTGTTCTTTCACTCTTTGCAATAAATTTTGCTGCTGCTCACTCTTTGGGTCCACACTGCCTTTATGAGCTGCAAGACTCACCGTGAAAGTCTGCAGCTTCACTCCTGAAGCCAGCGAGACCACAAACACACCAGGAGGAATGAACAACTCCAGACATGCCACCTTAAGAGCTGTAACACTTACCGCAAAGGTCTGCAGCTTCACTCCTGAGCCAGTGAGACCACAAACCCACCAGAAGAAAGAAACTCCGAACACCTCCAAACATCAGAAGGAACAAACTCCAGACACGTTGCCTTTAAGAACTGTAACACTCACCATGAGGGTCCGCGGCTTCATTCTTGACGTCAGTGAGACCAAGAACCCACCAATTCCGGACACAAAAGAACATGGTTAACTATATAGAGCTAATTTGACAGTTTTTTTTAAAGTCAGTGAGTAACAATGAGTTAACTGCTTGTATAAATAAGCAATTCCTGTGTAGACTGATGAAATGGTTTGAAAGATGAGTATTGAGTAGTAATGACTCTGAGATTCGAACACATGTTTAACTCCAAATTCCATACAATTCCTCTTTATATATTGTCTCAAGGAAATAAAGTTTGAGCCAAGAAACATTCTTCAATGAATAATAATAACACTGGTAAAGTGTTATGCTTTTGAATTTTACAAAGCTCTAGCAAATTCATTGTAACTTATGTTACTTATTATTATACAATTATATTATATTATACAATTATAAGTTAATTATTTTATACAATATACTTTATATTGTATATAAATATATTGTATATAAATATAAATACAATATTTATATTGTATTATTTTATACAGTATACTTATACAATTATAAGTTACTTTATTTTAATTTTTTCCCATAAGAATTGACTGTTAGTGGCTTCCTCATATTCTTCTGAAGTAGATTAAAAAATAATACAAACCTAAATTACTGCCTGGAATCCTTTCTTTTTGCCTTATGGAATTAAAGTAAAAACTTGTGGATATGTTCATTTGGTTTTAGGGTGTCAGATATTTCATTAATGAATAATATATTAAACAAAAACAATACTTTGTAAAATAGTTATCTCTGCTAATAATATTCAGAAAAGGAATTGTATCTGAAGAAAATTTTCATTAGCAGTTCTTATAAAATATATGCTACATTCCAGAGGAAAATGACAGATAGGAGGCAGGACTAATTTTCAGCTCCCACTCGGACAGACAGAACAGCATGTGGAGATTCTCACATCATGAGTTTTTGCTCCAGAAACTACCACAGGGATATACCAAAAAAGCCGATAGAATCCACAGACCCTTTGAAGAAAGAGAATTGGTGCTGCAGGCCCTGAGTAACAGCTGAAAATCTGTGAGTATCCAAAGTGTGAAAGCATGAAAGGGGGATTGTTTAACCCTGAGCACAAACCCGCACTGGGGAGCCTGGAGGTCCAGATGATGGGAGAAAGATTTGACCTTATCTGGAGCTAAGATAAATTGAGAAGGCCAAGCAAAATACAAGGGTAGAAGAAGCAGCGGAAAGAGCCCTGTGGGCTTTCTTGGTCCCCAGGGAAGCTATTTCTGACTTCATCTCACAGGAGTCCTTGGGGGTGGAGGCTGCCAGAGAAATTGGGAAGACCACAGGGTGAAGGAAACTTCCAGCTGAATTTGTAACAATTTCAACCCAACATGAAGTTTTCTGGACAGAACCTGGGATAGGGTAAATTGGGAGTGCAGACACAGCACAGAAGCCATGGCAGGCAGGGAGGTGTGAAACCTAAAAGACTTGCTTGTTTTATCAGCCAGGAAGCTGGTAACCTGGAACAAGGTCTCAGACCTGCTCACTGGCTGCCTGGAAATAAACTCAGTGCTGTTGAGGGGGCATAGTGTGAGTGAGACTGGCCTTTTGGGCTGTGTGGGAGCTGGATGAGCCCTGTAACTGCTGGCTTTCCCCCCTTCCCTGGTGACCTGCATGATGTAGCAGAGGCAGCCATAATTTCCCTGGGAACATAACTCCATTGGCCTGAGAACCATACCCCTATCCCCCACCACAGCCACAGCAAGCCTTGCCCAAGAGTCTGAGCTCAGACACGCCCAACCCTGCCCCCACCTAATGGTCTTTTCTACCTGCCCTGGTAGCCGAAGACAAACGACATAATCTCATAGAAGCTTTAGGGCCCTGCCCAACACCTGGTCCTCCCTATACTACTGCAGCTGATACTCTCCTGAAAGCAAAACCAGCTGGCTGGAGGCCAACCATTGCAAAATAAACACAATAAACAAAACTACAACTGAGGACCTTCACAGAGTCCACTTCACTTCCCTTCTACCTCTACCAGAGTAGGTGCGGCATCGGTGGCTGAGAGACTTGAAGACAGTTCACATCACAGGACTCTGTGCAGACACTCCCCAGTACAAGCCTGGAGCCTGGTAGCTCCACTGGGTGTGGCTAGATCCAGAAGTGAAAAACAATCACTACAGTTTGGTTCTCAGGAAGCCACATCCCTAAGGGAAGGGAGAGAGCACCATATCGAGGGAGCACTCCATGGGAAAAAAGAATATAAACAGCAGCCCTTGAGTCCCAGATTTTCCCTCTGATGTACTCTACCTAAAGGAGAAGGAACCAGGAAAACAGTTCTGGTAATATGACAAAATGAGGTTTATTAATGCCCCCAAAAGATCACACTATCTCACCAGCAATGAATCCAAAACAAGAAGAAATCTCTGAATTTCCAGAAAAATAATTTAGAAGGTCGATTATTAAGCTAATCAAGGAGGCACAAGAGAAAGGTAAAGTCCAACTTAAAGAAATTAAAAAAAGATACAAAATATGAAGGGAAAAATCTTCAGTGAAATAGATAAAATAAATTAAAAAAAAAACACAACTTCTGGAAATGAAGGACACACTTAAAAAAAAACCCAAAATACACTGGAAAGCCTCAGCAATAGAACTGAATAAGTAGAAGAAAGAACTTCAGAGCTCGAAGACAAGGATTTTGAATTAACCCAAACCAATAAAGACAACAAAAAAATTTTTTTAAAAATGAACAAAGCCTCCACAAAGTTTGGGATTGCGTTAAACAACCAAACCTAAAAATAATTGGCATTCTTGAAGAAGAAGAGAAATCCAAAAGTTAGGAATATGTATTTGAGGGAATAATCAAGGAAAATTTTTCCATCCTTGCTAGAGATCCAGACATCCAAATACAAGAAGTTTAAAGAACACCTGGGAAATTTATCTCAAACAGATTATTACCTAGAAGCACAGTCATCAGGTTGTCTAAAGTCAAGACAAAAGAAA
Source organism: Homo sapiens (assembly GCF_000001405.40). NCBI lineage: Eukaryota > Metazoa > Chordata > Mammalia > Primates > Hominidae > Homo > Homo sapiens. The sequence continues at coordinate 48,988,051 of NC_000006.12, forward strand.
GAATCTTAAGAGCTGTGAGGCAAAAGCATCAGGTAACCTTTAAAGAAAAACCTATCATATGAACAGCAGCTTTCTTTTTTTTTTTTTGAGACGGAGTCTCACTCTATCACCCAGTCTGGAGTACACTGGCATGATCTCGGCCCACTGCAACCTCTGCCTCCTGGGTTCAAGCGATTCTTGTGCCTCAGCCTCCCTGAGTAGCTAGTATTACAGGTGCCCACCACCACGCCCAGCTAATTTTTGTATTTTTAGTAGAGATGGGGTTTTGCCAATAGCAGCTTTCTTAGGAAAAAACCTACAAGCTAGAAGAGATTGGGGCCCTAACTTTAGCCTTCTCACACAAAACAATTATTAGCTAAGAATTTTGTATCCAGCAAAACTAACCTTCATAAATGAAGAAAAGATAGTCTTTTTCAAACAAATGATGAGAGAATTCACCACTGTCAAGCCAGCACTACAAGAATTGCTAGAAGGAGTGCTAAATTTTGAAACAAATCCTTAAAATACACCAAAATAAAACATCCTTAAAGCATGAATCTCAGAGGACCTATAAAACAAAACCAAAATAATAAAAGAAAAAGGTATTCAGGCAAAAAAATAGCATGATGAATAGAATAGCACCTTAGATCTCAATACTAACATTGAATGTAAATGGCCTAAATGCTCCAATTAAAAGATACAGAATAGCAGAATGGATAAGAATTCACCAACCAAGTATCTGGTGTCTTCAAGAGATTCACCTAACACATAAGGACACAAATAAGACAAAAGAGTGGAAAAAAATATTCCATGCAAATGGACACCAAAATTGAGGAGTAGCTATTCTTTTATCAGACAATACAAACTTTAAAGCAACAGCAGTTAAAAAAGATAAAAATGGACATTATATAATGATAAAAGGCCTTGTTCAATAGGAAAATCTCACAATCCTTAATATATATGCACCTAGCACTGGAGCTTGCAAATTATAAAACAATTACTACTAGACCTAATATATGAGACAGATGGCAATACCATAATAGTGGGAGACTTCAACACACTCCACTGATAGCACTAGACATGTCATCAAGACAGAAAGTCAACAAAGAAACAATGGATACTATAATATACCCTAGAACTATACCTTAGAACAAAGGCACTTAATAGATACTACAGGACATTCTACCCAACAACTGCAGGACATAAATTCTATTCATCAGCACATGGAACACTCTCCAAGACAGACCATATGTTAGGTCACAAAACAGTATCAATACATTTAAGATAATCAGAATTATATCACCTACTCTCTCAGACCACAGTGAAATAAAATTGAAAATCAACTCCAAAAGAAACCTCAAAACCATGCAAATACATGGAATTTAAATAACCTGCTCCTGAATGATTATTGGGTCAACAATGAAATCAAGAAATAAATTTAAAAATTCTTTGAACTGAATGATAATGGTGAAACAACCTATCAAAACCTCTGAAATACAGCAAAGGCAGTGCTAATGGCAGCAGCAGCCCATCTGGAGTGGTTGCTGCAAAGACGCTGGCTATAGCCAGGGAGGTGCGGCCTGTGCTGCATGCTCCATGGAGCTGGTGAGAGCCAGGAACAGGCAGGAGACCCACCTCCTTCTGAGTTGGTAGGGCAGGAACCCCACCCTCCCAGGTGCAGCAGCAGTTGCCCTGCCACAACTATGGACCCGAGCATCCCTGCATTCTCAGGAGCCCAGGATGCCCCTCTGCCTCTACAGGCTTGGAAGTCCCTGCTTCCACAGCCTGGCCTCTCCCCTCTCCTCGTGCCTGCTCTGGTTTCAGAATAAAGTTGGGAACCCATATGCTGTCATGACCTAGCCAGGTGTACCCGTGCTTGGGGCAATGCTGACACACCAGCCCCCAGCTACCTAGGCCCCCCTCTGGACTTTAGGTGCCAATGAGCATGAGAGAGAGGCTGAAGTGGGGCTGAGGGTGGCTCAGCATGGGCCTGCAGGTGCCCCTCAGCATGAACAGCCTGGGTGACATGGACAACATGATTGATGGTGTCAGGAGGTATACAGGCTCCTGGGCAGAAAGGGACAGGTCCTCAGTGAAGCCCCATCTTCAAGCCAGAAGCATGGGGGCCAGGCTGTCAGTTCTGGGTGGAGTCTGCAACTGTAGTGAGAATGTAGGTTGCTTTTTCTGGGCCCACTCATGGCTGCGCATGGACTAGTCAGCATGCATTTCCTCCTTCTGAAGCCCATAAAAACCCTGGACTCAGCCAGATTCACAGAGACATCAGGACTACCAGCAGTTGGAAGGGGCTATTCCCTTCAGATCTCTTCAACTCATCAGGATAAACTGCCTGTGGAAAGCAGCTACCCACCCCAGGTCTCCTCTCTGATGAGAGCTGGACACTCATCGGGAAAGCCTGCCTGTGTATAGGAGCTACCCACTTTGGGTATTCTGAGAGCTGTTCCATCAATGAAGCTCCTCTCTGCCTTGCTCACCCTCCAGTTGTCCACATACCTCATTCTTCCTGAATGCAGGGCAAGAACTCAGGACTTGCTGAATGGTGGTACTGAAAGAACAGTAACACAAACGGGGTTGAAATATGCCTCCTGCTCACCAAGTTGTGGATGACAAGAAGGAGAGAAGAGCTGCAGCTCTTCAGGGAACCTAGACCTAGGGGCTCCCTGAGCCAAGGCTATGACACCCTCTTTGGGTCTCTGTGGTTTCTGGTGTCTCCAAGCTTTTGGGCCCCACTGCATTCCCTGGTGCCCACAGTGGAAACTGCTTACAGTACACCCGTCCCAGCCTCAGGCCCACATGGAGCCAGTTCTTGTGTTGTTGCCTGGAGCTGCCTGCCCCACTATAGCCTGCAAGCTTGGCTGTGCACTGTGGCTGGGCCCTGCACTCATTCACACACCTCTCACCACTTGGTGACTGGCTCACCCTTGGCAAGCATGGAATTTGAGCTGGTAGCCCAAGCCAAGTCCAGCCTGCTGGGCAGAGTGGGCAGAAGGTGCCTAGCGGGCCTGAGCAAACTTGGGCAAATGTGCCTCCGGCCACAGAGGTTTCCACAGGAAAAGCGACATCCTAAGGACCCAGTGACAGCGCCAAGAAGAAAGTTCATAGCATTAAATGCCTACATCAAAAAGTCTGGGAGAGCACAAATAGACAATCTAAGGTCTCACAACAAGGAACTAATGAATCAAGAACAAACCAAACCCGAACTCAACAGAAGAAAAGAAATAACAAAGATCAGAGCAGAACTAAGTGAAAGTGAAACAAAAATAATGCAAAATATAAGTGAAACAAGAAGCTGGTTCTTCGAAAAGATAAATAAAATTGATAGACCATTTGCAAGATTAGCCAAGAAAAGAAGAGAGAAGATCCAAGTAAGCTCAATTAGAAATGAAATGTGAGATATTACAAACAATATCAAAAAAATACAAAAGATCACTCAAGGCTACTACGAATACATTTATATGCATAAGCTAAAAAACTTAGAGGAAATGAATAAATTCCTGGAAATATGCAACTCTCCTAGATTAAACCAGGAAGAAATAGAAACTCTGAACAAACCAATAACAAGCAGCAAGATGGAAATGGTAATAAAAGAATTGCCAAACAACAACAAAAAAGGAGCAGACAGGAACAGACAGATTCAGGGCCAAATTCTGTCAGGTATTCAAAGAAGAATTGTACCAATCCTATTGACACTATTCCACAAAATAGAAAAAGAGAAAATCCTCCCTAATTCACTCCATGAAGCCAGTATCACTCTAATACCAAAACCAGGAAAGGACATAACAAAAAAGAAAACTACAGACCAATATCCTGGATTATTATAGATGCAAAAATCCTTAACAAAATACTAGCTAACCTAATTCAACAACATATCAAAAAGATAATCAAGCGTGATCAAGTGGGTTTCATGCCAGGATGCAGAAATGGTTTAACATGTGCAAGTAAATAATTGTGATACACCACATGAACAGAATTGAAAACAAAAATCACATGATTATCTCAACAAGTGCAGAAAAAGCATTTGATAAAACCAGCATCTTTTTATGACTAAAATCCTTATCAAAATTGGCATAGAAGGGACATACCTCAATACAATAAAAGCCATCTGTGAAAAACAAACAGCCAACATTATAGTGAATGGGGAGAAGCTGAAAACATTCCCTCTGAGAACTGGAACAAGACAAGGATGCCCACTCTCATCCCTTCTATTCAACATAGTACAGGAAGTCCTAGCCAGAGCAATCAGACAAGAGAAGGAAATAAGGAGCATCCAAATTGGTAAAGAGAAAGTCAAACTGTTGCTATTTTCCGTATATTATTGTATACCTAGAAAACCCTAAAGACTCCTCCCAGAAGCTTAGATCTGATACATGAATTCAGTAGTTTCAGGATACAAAATCAATGTATACAAATCAGTAGCTCTGCTATACACCAACAGCGACCAAGCTGAGAATCAAATCAAGAACTCAACCCCTTTTAAAATAACTACAAAAACTTATAAATATACCTAAACAAGGGGGTAAAAGACCTCTACAAGGAAAACTACAAAACATTGCTGAAAGAAATCAGATGACACAAACAAAAGGAACCACATTTCATGCTCATGGATGGGTAGAGCCAATACTGTGAACATGACCATACTGCCAAAAGCAATCTACAAATTCAATGCAATTGCCCTCAAAATGCCACCATTATTCTTCACAGAACTAGAAAAAGCAATGCTAAAATTCATATGGAACCCAAAATGAGCCCACATAACCAAAGCAAGACTAAGCAAAAAGAACGAATCTGAAAACATCATATTACCCAAATTCAAACTATACTATAAGGCCATAGTCACAAAAACAGCACAATACTGTTATAAAAATAGGCATATAGATCAACGGAATGGAAGAGAGAACCCAGAAATAAAGCCATATACTTACAGCCAACTGATTTTCAACAAAGCAAATGAAAACTTAAAGTGAGGAAAAGACCCTGTTCAACAAATGGTGCTGGAATAATTAGCAATCCACACGTAGAAGAATGAAACTAGATCTGCATCTCTCACCTTATACAAAAATCAATTCAAGGTGGATCAAAGACCTAAATCTAAAGGCCTGAAACCAAAAAAAGTTTAGAAGATAACATTGGAAAAACCCTTCCAGACATTGACTTAGGCGAAAACTTCATGATCAAAAGCCCAAAAGCAAGTGCAACCAAAATGAAGCTAGATAGATGGAACTTAATTAAACTAGCTTCTGCATAGCAGAAGAAACAATCAGCAGAGTAAACAGAAAACCCAAAGAGTGGGAAAAAGTCTTTGCAATCTGTGCATCTGACAAAGGACTAATATCCAGAGTCTATAAGGACCTCAAGCAAGAAAAAATACAAACAAACCCATCAGAGCATGAATAGACAATTCTAAAAAGAAGACATACAAATGGCCAACAAATATATGAAAAAATGTTCAACGTCACTAATTATCAGAGAAATGCAAATCAAAACCACAATGCAATATCACCTTACTCCTGCGAGAATGGCCATGATCAAAAAATAAATAAATAATAGATGTTCACAGGGATGTGGTGAAAAGGGAACACTTTTACACTACTGGTGGTAATGTAAACTAGTTCAACCACTATGGGAAACAGTGTGGAGATTCCTTAAAGAACTAAAAGTAGAACTACCATTTGCTCCAGCAATCCCACTACTGTGTATCTACCCAGAGGAAACAAACTCATTGTACAAAAAAGACACTTGCACATGCATGTTTATAGAAGCACAATTTGCAATTGCAAAAATAGGAAAACAGCCTAAATGCCCATCAAAGAGTGTACAAAGAAATTCTGATATATATATATATATATATATATACACCATGAAATACTACTACATATATATATACACACACCATGAAACACTACATTATATATATATATATATATATATATATGTATATATACCATGCAAAACTACTCAGCCATAAAAAGGAATGAAATAATAACATTCACAGCAACCTTGAAGGAATCGAAGTTCATTATTTTAAGTGAAGTCACTCAGGAATGGAAAAACCAAACATTGCTTGTTCTCACTCATAAGTGGAAGCTAAGCTCTGAGGATGCAAAGGCATAAGAATAATACAATGGACTTTAGAGACTTGTGGGAAAGGGTGGGAGGGACAAGGGATAAAAGACTACACATTGGGTATAGTGTACAGTGTTCGAGTGATGGGTGCACCAAAATCTCAGAAATCATCACTGAATAACTTATTCATGTAACCAAACACCATCTGTTCCCCCAAAACCTTTTGAAATTAAAAAAAAAGTGAAAAAATATATAAGTTTCAAAAAGGCTGTATTATAATGTCACAAACATGACATCTGGCCCATGGTGATGGTGAATTCAAATACTGAATACTTAGACTGTGGTTCCTTTAAAGGGACACAACTGAGTAGCTGTGCAAAGGGCTAAAATACAGAAATTTTACAATATGAAGTCTGAATGTATTTTAAAATATAAACCTGAAACACTTTTAGGAACAAGAATACTCACCCATATTTCTCAGGTGGGCAGAGACCATTTATTTGCTGTTTTGTTGTGCCTACATTTGTCACCCTAAATGGCATGCTCTCCATGTCTCTTTATATCTGTCATTATCCCAGCTGTTTATTTGCTGCATTATATTGGTGTTGCAATATAAAAATCTAATGGTCACTCTTTTAGAATTTGGGATTATTGTGACAACAAATGTCACAAACTATTGTGATTAATGTCCTCCAGAAAAGATGATAAACTAAAATGGGAGCTAGATGCCCGCCTGAACTCAACTTTGATGGATTAGAGGAATTAATATAACCCTGTGTTAAGCCCCTAGAGGCACAGAAGGTGTTTGGCAACAGGGTGAGTGGGTGGCAGAATGGCAATGCAAGCTTAAAGCTGCAGGAGAACCCTCTGGTGGTGACTTTTCTCTCTTCACTTTGTTCTGGGTAGACCTTTGCCCACTCTCGCTGCTACTGGAGTGGAGGGCAGGCAGCCAGTAAGAGTTGGCAAGGCCATATTGGGCCAATCAGCTGCCCAGCTGTGCTGGGAAGCAGGTACCACAGTGCTGACAGATGGTCAGTTGCCTTTGAACATTACTCCTCCCCATAGGCTCACCCTCCACACAGAATGTTTTAAGGAGGACTTCCTTCCTGTAGCCTGATCATAGATTGGTTTGCCACACCAATTTCTAATCTCATTTCCCCCTCCCCATTTTCTCTTTCACTTTCTGGTTTATATTATTAATCAGGTTATAATTATACCCAAGAAACAATTGTACTAACTTATGTTTCATTTGTCAGAGTTTTATCTTATATTTGGAACTTAGATATTTGACAATTGGAGGTAAATTCTGTCCTGCTGAGTCCTGCTCACTGTTCTAGTGGTAGAATATAAATTTATTATCATACAAAAGGAAGGGGATCTCACCAATAGGACATTACCAGCCTAAAGGAAACCACTTATCTGGCATGAGAAATCCATCTTTATGAAAATCACTGAACCATATCATATGACATGAAATTGTGGTTTAGATCATCCTGTCCTAAATCTATATTACTAGATTTGACTAAAATTTTCTGCAAACAAAATCAAAATAATATTCACCTGAATTTGGATATTTTGATAACTGGAAAGAATGATACATTAGCCAATTTTCACGTTAGCAAAAAGTTGTTCATACAACACAGTATTTAAACCCTCTGTGTGAGAAGGCAAGCAGCAAACACTGAAGTCCTGTTATGGGAAAGGCACTCTGAGAGGCAGTATTAGAGAAAAAATTGAAAACGGAGAATTGAAAACAAATCACAGAAAGTCATTTCCAACCTAACAACCAGAAAGAAACTGAATAACATAAAGACTCATAAATTTTCTTGAGACCATAAGAGAGTTGAAGTCATGAAACTGAGAAAACTGAATCCCAAGGAGTAACGGGCATCTCCAAGAAAATATGAGGCACACAGCTGTTTTGTTTTAGTCAGAGCACCAGACAGGAGAAAGAGATGCCTTCATACAAGCAGGTAAAAATAAATCAACTAAAATATTAACAGATTTTAAAGGCCAAGTGGGAGCTAATATGTTAATTGGAAAATACTGAAGGATGCAGACCAAAAGAGTAGCACACTTTTAAAAACTCTTTTCTATAGTCCCATCATCAAGGGGATCACAGGAAAGATATAAGGCAGGGTAGGAGATCATACAGTAGCTCTCAGTGACAAGGACATGAGAGATGTAAATGAATGCTCCTGGGCCAGTTCCCATCCTCCCATAAGAAGAGAAACCCTTAAACTACTGAAGGAGAGGCCTCAATCTCTCTATATCCCAGGCAAGAGAGAGAATTAGACACAAAAACCATTACTCACTGGAGGAGAGGTAGGAAATCCTCCCACACTAGGTCACAGGCAAAAAATCCATTGTTGTTGGTGAAGTGTAGAAGCAATAATAGGTAAAAGGGACAGGAAATGTTCTTGGGATAGAATCTCATGTCAACAACAAGTAGAGGTCTTTTGCCACGGGGAGAAGGGAAAGAAACTACGTTTCAACAGAGATCAAACAGAGGTAAGCCACATAGTTGTTTCAACCAGCTGTACCCACGACTGGAGTCACACCAAAAGCAGCAGCAGGAGAGTCCCTGCAAGGGACTGCCCCAAACTGTCCCCAGATAGGGCTGGTTGGGATTCCAAAGAAAGAAGCACTAGATGCCAAGATGATCAATCCAAAGCATTTATTAGAGAAACTTGCATAGAGAGTGCTGCTGTGGTCCTATAGACAGATAGCAAGAAAATAAATGTTCTACCAAGGTATATACACAACAAGGGGGTTGGGTTACGGATTTATATGAGGGTTTAAGAAACTTGGCTCAGGGCCAGTGCTAGGTTTTACATGTTTAGCAACAGGGCTAAATTCTCAGTGTTTCGAGCAACAATTTGAACAAGTTTATCAGTGCCTGGGGATGTTCAAAATCCTGGTTTAGGTTCATGCTTACAGGGAAAAGCATGCATCTGGTTAAATTATGGGGTCGTCAAGGTACTCCATCTTTCTTGGTGAGGACAAAGAAATAAAATGGGGGGCTGTGTGTGGTGGCTCATGCCTGAAATCCCAGCACTTTGGTAGGCCAAGGAGGGTGGATATCTTGAGTCCAAGAGTTTGAAACTAGCCTAGGCAACATGCCAAAACCCTGCCTCTACAAAAAATACAAGACTTAATTGGGACTGGTGCATGTGCCTGTAATCCCAGCTACTTGGGGGGCTGAGGCAGGAGGATCACTTGAGCCTGGGAAGTTGAGGCTTCAGTGAGCCAAGATTGTACTGCCACTGGATTCCAGCCTGGGTGGCAGAGCGAGACCCTGTCTTAAAAAAAAATTTTTTTTGAGGGAACTAGGGGACTCTACAAGAGTCTAGTTACCATGAATCAGTGCGGCAGGAGTTCTGAGAAAGTCTTACCCACAAAACATAATTCAGAGGGCCTAAGAGTGAACCAAGACTGGGACAACAGATTACACCTCCTTATCCTTTAATGGGCCTAGTACTGAGTAAAGAGCTGAAGCAGTAGACTGCTGAGAGAGGGGCAAACTAGGAAAAAAATAGACAGGGACAGTTGAAAGCAGAAGGAAGATGAGGAACACTGACAAAATCCTCTACCTCCCAGCTTGAATTCAAAGCACAACAAAATGGCAGCCAGTTGGTGGAATTTTAACCTGTGTGGCACTAAAAATGATGGTAATGACAAAACACCAATGACGCCCAACTTCCAATTGGGTTGATTTAAGCCCCACAATGGCAGCCTAACAGAAAAGAAGGCATGTTCACTTCCAAGTGTGAATACCATTTACTTCAACCTCTACTATCCTTCAACACTTAACAGGTATCACATAAAAAATCATGAGACACAAAACAAATAAAAATATTGGGAAAATCAGACCCAGAAATAGTCCAGAAGTTGGAACTATCAGATAGGGACTTCAGCATACTGTGACTAATATGTTAAAATATCTAGTGGAAAACGTGGACTATACGCATGAACAGATTGAAAATTTCAGCAGTTTGTTTTTTATTAACTAATCCTTTTCAGTAATCCTACAATTTACTAAATGTGTAACAAAGCATTTTTCTCTTAGTATTTCTACCTGCATTCTAAATTCATAATCTCATCTTTCAAAAAATTTCATTGTCAAATCAAGTTCACCAAAATGCTATTTTAAAAACATTTTATTTTATCTACTTGCTCTTTTTTGCATCAAAGTTACTATTGATTTAAACTTCATATTGGTTTAAAAGCACTTCCTAGGATTATCACCTTCTCTGCTTTTCACAATAGGTAAACCTAATTGATGCAGTATTAACCTTTCTCTGCTTTCCACTGAAGAATACACCTTCTCTTTCACTCTTGTCTTTCTCCTTTCTTTCTATCTAAGGAACTTATTCTGCAACAGAACTAAGAAATTTGAACTTTAGAAGTAGTTAAAGTTATATATTATCCATCTATACCACTTCTAATCTAAGGAGTTTTTATATTAAATTGTAATTTTAGTTGCTACTTAAGAATTTGGATATACTTCATTGATAAATAAAAATATTTATAAATAATAGAAAAAATTATATTGTTTTGTATATTAGATTTATATGTTATAGTATATAAATAATAAATATAATTAATAAATATTTATTATTTATAATTTACTATTTATATTTAATATTAATATTTAATATTTATAATTATATTTATTATTTATAAATCATGTTCATAATACATTGTCTATTAATTGCTTATTTTTTAAACATTGAAAAAGTGGTGAGTGGAGAAAGCAGACAACTACATGAAGTATTTGAAAGGCATCTGCTGGTCTCTGATTGTGGACATTTTAGGTCAATCATCAAGCTAATTTGGCAATCAATAAAAGTTAAAGCAAAAATGGATAGTTTTCAGAGAGCTAATGTACCAAATCTAAGTACATTGTCAACCATATATAGTGAATAAGTTTAATCAATAGCACATAAGGAGAGGTGAATAAATGAGAAGGTTGTAGGAAACGGAGAAAGAGAAATTAATGGCAAAACATTGATAAAGACTTTTGACATGGCTGTGTGACTTTGGATAAATTTAACCTTTCTGAAGGTCAATGTTTCCAATTTTTAAATAGAGGTATTTAAATAGTAATTTATGAGGATATTTTACAGTGTTGTAAGTTTTTCATTGTGGTTTACAGCTGGATCTATAGTAATAGTTAATGGTTAATAGTTAAATTCCCAACATTATGTTATTATGTACAGCAGGCAAAGAACAATTAGAAAACTCATAATCGTTTCTGTTTGTGCTTTAGTCCCCAACATTCAAAGTTAATCTTTTTGAATCACTGTTATATTATGATCAAAGTAATTTCCATACAAAAATATTGTCACATTTATATAAAGTCTAAAATTATACATATTTTAAAAGAAATAGATTAGTTTAAAAGCAATAAAACCATTTCCTTTATGTACTAGATGAATTGAAGATAATTAATTAGTTCACTAATTCATTTTAATCAGACATTTACCTACACTAAAGGAGTATAATTTTAAAGAGAGTCTTGCGTATCAAGATGAGGGTCAATGCTGAAAGACTTCTAATTCTGTAAAATTCTATCTGGTGAAACTCTACCCCAGTACTCAATGGCTGCTGCTCTAATATTATACCAAAGTAGCCCATCGCAGTTTCAGGTGTGACTGTGAAACAAGAGTAAAGTAAAAAAAAAAAAAAAAAAAAAAAAAAAAAAGTGTTTATAAGCCATGATGTTACTATGATTAAAAGCAGTATTTTAACTTTTGAGTGACTGAAAGTATTACAATGTAAATGAAAAGATAATGTTTCATAGCCACATATTACAATATTTAAAAATTAGTTATTATACTCTAGTGCCAATGATTATGGAGTTAATATATGATGTCTCAAATCAATTTTACATGTTGCTTCTAAGGAAGAACATGGTGTTTCTAAGAAAAGGTTTTTTGTGTTTTTTTTTTTTTTAAATACCTAAAGCATGAAAACTAGAAATGCAGTTGCAACTGAGTTAACTTGGAAAAATGTTGTCCTAAATATGTGCCATGATTAGCTAGGCATTTGAAATGGGCTTTTACAGATATTACCTGTTTTCTTCCTAATAAGTATTAGTACCAACTCTAGTTCATGAAAGAGAAAAACCAAGTTTGGATCATTTACAGAACTTGGCGACATTACTCAGCTATAAATAATAAAAATGAGATTTAAACCTGCAGGATTTAATGTGCAAGTCCAATGGACCACACTGTCTTTCAGTCATCAAGCTGCTTTGGGACTCAGGTATTGCAGAAGCAAAAGTTCCTGTTGTATATTTCTTATTGAATTATCTCACTCCCACCAACCAGGAAATTTTATTTCATTGGGAACCCTAGTGGCTCCCTTTATCATTCAACTTCAGGGGCTACTGAAAAGTCCTGAATCACCCATATTCTCCTCCACTTGAAATTTTTAGTTTAATCTCTTCTTACAATTAAACTTTGTTTGTTGTTTAAAATATAAACCTCAGTTAGGGACTTTCATCTGGAGTTCCACTGTGTATTTATTTCATGGTAAGATTGACAGAACCTTCAAAGATAGGGTATGATATGGGATTGTAGATGAAAGAATCAGGCTGAGAGAGCAGGAAAGTAGGAACTTCTAAAAATTAAGGCAAGGTATAGAGCAGGAATGTTTAGGTTTCTGAATATAAATAATATACACTAGAAAATCTTACTAATAATTCTATTTTAATTTGACTCCTAGGTTAGAAAACAGAGTGCAAAACTGAGGATTTCACTGTTATAACATTTCAAAAATTCAATTTTCTCCACAGGAGCTAGTTTTTAAATGCAGGCTCCAAAGATTCAATCTGTCTGGGAGTGGTGAGTAGCCAGAAATCTGATTTATTTATTAAACTCATACTATAGTGCAATATGCTTTAGCAAAAATATCACAGGTAATCTTCATATTGGCTTGTAAGTTAAGTGATTCATTGACCTTATTTTACAGGCAAGGAAACTGTAGCTGAGATAAATGACACTACTAGTCTACGGTTTCTAAGCTGGTAGGTAACAAAGCCAGGATTTGGAGACAGAGTTCATGATTCCAGAAGCCTTTTCTTCAACAACTATCCTTAGAACTTCCTGGAGTAAAGAATGGAGGTACAGGGGTGGACAACAGTGTTAATAATACAATACTGAAATTATAATGACATTAATATAATCATTATTATAGTTAAGAATTGAGGTCTTTCCATTTGTTTTTAACTGTTCTAAACCAGTTATATGTATGCAAAGTAGACATTATAATTACCACATTTTACTGATGAGGAATATGAGACCCAGAGGGATTAATAACTTGTCCAAAGTCAACAGCTAATAGCTGGTAGAGCCTGGATTCAAACTAGCACTGCTTGACTCAGCAAGTTGTGAAATCAAGCTTGATCTATTTAGATTCCTAATATTGTTAGCAGGTGTGCCTGAGAATTTAAGGTATGTCTGAAAGAAACATACATGAAATTATTAAACGTCCCATTTTATAACTCACAGCGTGTGTCTATATCTAGCCTGTAAAGTACTCAAAATTATAATCACCTTAACTGTAAATTACTGAAGAAAGATTTAGGCAATATCAAAGAAACACAAAAAGTGATCCTGACAGCCTTACCATCTCCATCAATGTGTTTCCCTTCTTCCTCCTCACCCATTAAGGCTGGGTTAATTTTATTTTTAGAGAAGTAGAATCTTAAAGTCATGAATTCTTGTTATAACTTTGCAGATATAAGTCACTTAGGCCTATTTTAAAATGCCACATAGTTCTCATTCTGGAATTGAAACTCTCAGGGGCACACTGCAATGCTTTTTGGCAGAGGTTTTCCTAAAATTGGATTTTCTTCAAGTCCTTCCCTCCTGCTCCTCTCTTTGTGCCAGGTCACCTCCTTCTCCTCTGTTATGTATTCAGATGACAAGGAACTGTGTTCTCTGCCAGGTCATCCCTCCCATGAATCACCCTGACATTAGGGCTTCCCTCTCTTCACTTCTCTTTACTATTTTGTTCAGTTTTGCTGTAATTTTCCAAGGGAAGTGACATTCCCATAGTATTGCTATTCACTGAACAATGTTTGTATGTGTTCTGAATAAGAAAAATCCATCTGCTAGGAAAAAAATCAGTCCAAGTTTAAAGCAAAATCTTCTTCTTTAAACTAGAACTTTTATACTTAGAAATAGAAGAAAGTTACCCAAACAGGGCTAGTCCCAGGACACATGCCAGCAAGATGCTCATCAAATCTATGTTAATGTGAGATGACATTAAACAACAATCAAATGCTTTGTAATGAATCAGGTTTTCATCAACATTTGCTTACTGTGAAATGTAACATTTTAAAATATGTTTTACAGAAAAAAGTACACTTTAATTATTGTTGCTAAAATACAATGACTTAAAATGCTTTATGTTGCTGTATGAGAAGTGAACTTTTAAATGTAAAATACATTCTTAATACTAAATACACAGAAATTCAAAGGATGATTCTGGCAAAGCTATTCCTATAAGTCAATATAGTCATCTGTATATCTTTCACTTGCCAGACATATAATTGCTTCAAAATGAACCAACAAGAGAAATAAGAGTTCTAAGTGAAGTGCTGACAAGTTGAATGGATTCATGTAATTAGCATTTGGTAAGATGTTTTCTGCTTGTTTTCTGAAGGTTATGCTCAGGTAAGTATGGAATAGAAATCTTGTTCATATTTGAGTGGGACTAAACAGCTATTGTTAGAGAATGGAAAGTGTATGGACTTTGGAGTTAGACAGATATACAGCAAGTTATTTAATCAATTTTAGCCTCAATTTTATCATTTGTAAAACTAGAATATTAAACTTTCCTTGAACTATTGCCCTAAGTATGAGTTATCAGATATATGAATTATCCCTTATATTGGTTGACACATTGCAGATGGTCAGTAAGTATTATTATTAGAAGTGAAAACTTGATTGAAAAATGAGCTATAAGTAATATCTATTTTCAGCTTTTAAACATACATGTAAACAGAGATTAAGTGGGATCAAGAGAGATTTTATCCTGTTAATTTTTACTGTGCCTCTATTGCTGTGCAAATATATGCTGCAATGGTTGGGAAGTTAAATGTTGAGTCAAACCCAGTATGATCATAAATGTTAGTTTAAAATTTTCTTTTTATTTTGTTTGGTATACTGTCCAATTAATTTTTAAAATGAATAAACACTCTTTCTATATATGGTGGTAGTTTATCTTGGCTGCTGTTGTCTTTTTATTCTCTTTTAAGTCTATGCCTTTTTGTCTTCTAGTTATGATTTTATTACTGACAAATGCATTACTAGTCTCTGCGGTGGTTCATTTATTTGCTAGTACATTTACTTCCTTATCGAGAATGAGATAGTTATTATTTCCAGACTCCTGCTGACATTGTTTCTAAATCCAGGCCCACTTCCTCCTGCCATAGCATCATTTGCCAGGTGCTTTGTCTGTAGATTATTTTCATTTTTCAGCTGCTGTTTTCCACCCCATGGAGTTAAATCTATTCATACAGTTTATTTCTGCTTTTACAAAGATTTTCTGATAAAATATGCGAAATGGCTCCTGTGCATAAAGTATTTGCAGAAAGAAAAAAGATGAGAAACATGGCATTAAATTAGGCCCTGATGTAAAAAGAAAAAGCCTAGTTTTTTGAAATAGCTCACACAACAAAATATCTAATTTATCAAATTAAAAAAAAACCTAATTCTGAAGTTAAATTTGTCTTGGAAGAAAACCAAAAAACAATAATAAAAGGAGCAGAGTCAAAGTGAAATATTTTAATGTATATTTGTGATTTATAAACTAGAGAACAATTATTTTAAGAAAAGAAGTTTGACTTAGTAAATAATATGTGTTCCTCCACACAGAAGAAAATTTTCCATTGAGAAGGGCTATCAAAGCCTATCTTTTAATAGTCTATTGAACTACACAAATTCTATGTAAATTTTCTTAAGCTGTGTGTTGTGTCAGTGTTTGTGTGTGCTTGTGTGTGTTTGAAAGGATATACAGAAATGTCATTGAAGAATTTCAAGAAACTGGTAAGCAAAGAGGGGACTAGGGATTTTCTAACAGTTTTAACTATTCTTAGAACTCAAGAAGATGAAGATGCCATCTCATGTAGCTCAAACATTTCACTTTAAGGGTGATATATGTTTAGTACAGTAATTTAGATTTACTAGGTCTTATCTAAAATATGACATAATGGCCCTTGCCTGAATGCTAATACTTTTGTAAACGTACCAAGGAAAGAAATATCTTACCCCAGGTGGAAATAAAAATGTTTCTCAATCATTGAGAAGAGTAGTATCAGTGTTTTAGCACAGGTAGGCGGTTTTTCAACTGAAAAGACCAATTGAATGCGAGGGGTGATGGGCACCTTGGCAAAAATAAAGATTCTGTTTCAAAGGTCTGGACTAGGACCTAAGATGCCGCTAATTTGTTGACCACACTTTTAGTATCAAAACTGTATATAATCTGTGTTTCTCATTGCTGCTGGATTAAATTTCAGGGGTTTCCTATTGACTACCTTAATCTCCAAATGCCTCAACATTGTGGTAGAACAGTGGTTCTCAAAATGTGGTCCCTGGACTAATAGCATCAACAGCATCTGAGAACTTGTTGGACGTGAACATTTTCAGCACCTACCACAGTCCTAGTAAATCAGAAACTCTGGGGTGCCCAGAAATTTGTGTTTTAACAAGGTCTCCAGGTGATGCTGATCCCATATGCTAAAATTTGAGGGGGAAAAAAAGCATTTCAAACGACTGGTTATCCAGCCTGCAACACATTACAACCATCTGGTAAGCTTTCTAAGAGTAACAATGGTTGGGCCTCACCCCTGTCCAGTTAAACCAATATCCCTGGGGCTATGTCTAATGTGCAGCCAGAGTTGAAAACTACAGTTGTGTGCTATTGATAGTCTATCTATAGAACTGATTCATCCCTCCTCATGCTTCACTCTTTCCCAGGGTAACTCCTCCAGGCTCTCTCTTTGCTCCTCTATCTTCTCATGGTATTTCACCTCTGCTTTGTACGGCCTTCTCATTCCTTGTATTAAAACACTTTTTTCCTTTACTCAAAGCCTTCATTTTGATTCTATCTCATGTCTCCTAAAGTAACCTTACAAAGGAAATGTTGTTCTTTCTTAAATCTTCATGCTTAATACCACATATTTGTACATACATGATTTTGAGACATTTTTCTCAGGTGTTTTAATAAAAAGAACATTGTTTTTCTACCAGACTCTTAATTTCTTTGGATAAAATATCATATATTTTCTTGCATTTGCAGCTTCAATTGTTTTCAGCACAGATCCAAGGACGCTGGTGATTCTACAACAAGTGCTTTTTAAATTTAAATGAAGAATGCACAATTATGGTTATTCAGTAAGAGCCTTTTTGTATGATTACTTAGAGAAAAAGAGAACAAACACATTTTCATATGTTTATTTAGAGAAAGAGAGAACAAAATAATCAGTTTAGCTGGAGGATTTTTCTTCCCTTTGAATAGATAAAATAATTAATACTGCACTGTTGATTAGCTTGATAAAAAATGTTATTCTCTTAATAATTGTATGAGCAATAATCATGCCTATCTCCACCGATCTAATTCATAAATGCAGATAAAAATTTCTAAGGACTTGTTATGCCAAATCATAAACAAACACCATTATTATTTTAATTATAATAATAAATTTTTCCAGTATTCTATTAAAATACTATTAATGGTTCACTCCAAATAATTCTATTTCTAGTCAATGCTATAAGATAGTAACAAAATAACTCACTCCTCACAAAAATCATTTTCTTGTTTAATATAATTTACATTATAATTAATAGTTTATGGTACAAACATATTTGTGGTGAAAGAAATTATAGCTATAGAGATAGAATGCAGGCAAAATTACAAAGGCTTGTTTTATTTTATTTGTTTAGTTCAATATAGCCCTACTGATCTGACATCCCCTTAGAGTTTGGGTAGAGTTTAATGAAAAATCTGAAAAATGAAATAAATTCTTCCTTTGACTGTGTTGCTCTGAGGTATGAATGTAAAGCAATGAGACTGAATGCATAAAACTCATATGTAGGTAAATTGTGTATATGGGTTATATAAAACCACGTTACAAACATGTACAATTTTAAAAATAAATTTTATATTTTAGAATAGATTTAAACCTACAGAAAAATTACAAAGATACTACAAAGAGTTTTCATATACCCCACATTGTATATGTATATAATCCCTGTTATTAACATTTTATATTGGTATGACACATTTATTACAATAAATCATATTTTATTGACACATTATTAACAAAGGTCTATATTAAATTTAGATTTTTTTTAGTTTTTTTCTAATGTTTTTCTGCTTCAGGACCCATCCAAGATGTCATAGTGCATTTAGCTCTCATGTCTCCTCAGGCTCCCCTTGTCTATGACAGTGTTTTAGACTTTTCTTGTTTTTGATGACCCTCACTGTTTTGAGGAGTACTGATCAGATATTTTGTAGAATATCCTCAAATGGGATTTTTCTGATGTTTATCTCATGAATTGACTGGGTTATGTGCCTTTGGGAGTGTTCCACAAAGATAAATTGTCATTCTTATCACATCATATCAAGAGTACATATTATCAACATGATTTACAACTCATCATTGTTGATGCTGATGTTGATCACTTGCTTTAGATAGTTTGTGTCATATTTCTCCACTGTAAAGTTACTCTCTTTTCACTTTTTCTATATGTGCTTTTTGGAAGGGTGTTCCCATGTGAAGTCCATACTTAATGGAGTAAGAACTCGACCTCCTTGAAGGCAAAGCATTTACATAACGTATTCAGAATTCTCTTGCAAAAGAAATTACTGTGCAGGAGAATTGCGAATACTTTTTGGGTATTCAGTTATTTAAGTATGATAGTATGGACTCATGGATATTTATTTTATACTTAGGTTTATAATCCAATACTATTTTATTTATTTTATTACTTGAATTAATCCAGGGTTGGCCTTTGGGAGCTCTTTAGATTGGCTTCTGTATCCCTTTGACATAATCCCATTTTTAGCTTTTTTTTTTTAACTTTCTGGGACAAGATGGAGTATATACTCATCTTGCATATTTCTCACCCCAGTCCTATACTCAGCCATTTATCTAAGGAGTCCTAGCTCCTTTTATTAAAGAACCATAAAGTATCAAAAACAGCTAGAAAATTGTCTTATTCTCTCTGCTCAGAAATAATAACAACACAATAAATAAGAATAGGTAATACCCTCTTCAAAGATATTTTGCTAAGCATGTTAATCTTTGCTAAAAATGTAACAAGTAATTGTATTAATTATCCTCATTGTACAAATGAAGAAATTAGAACAGAAAGAGTTAACCTAATGACCAATGTCAATTGGCAGAAAGGCGGCAGAAAGGCAGCAGAAAAGACATTTGAACCCATGTTATTTTTATTTCAAATGTGCCCAACCAACTTTTCCAAACTCCTGGTTTCATGTCTAGTACCTCTACCACTGAGCACCAACTTGCCTCATTCACTTTATATCCCAGTTACTCCCCACATCTGTTCATCCCTGCCAGAGTTCTCTGCTCATCTTCCTCTATATGGGTTGAGAATATAAGATCTACTAGAAATGACTTTTTTTTAATCTCTACTTTTCTAAACTCTGTTGTCTTTTACATTCTACATCCTCTGTGAAGCCATCTCTAATCATATAAACTCTCTTCTGAAATTTTATAAACTTATAATTTATTCTAATCATTTGCTAGGTGGCATATGATCTTTCTCCAATCAAAAAGTTCCTGAGCAGAATTCTTAGTTATTGAACTTCTCTCCATTTTCAGCAAATGGGTTAGTGCTTTGTAGTCAATCTGTGCAGAAAACATTTAATAAGCACATACAGATTATTATGGTGACAGTAATGATAGTGATTTTCATGACACATAAGTAAATTTCAAATGACCAGAGCCTACATGTGTGCCTGAGGTAGGCTCAGGAATCAGTAATAGATGAGAAAATATTCTATCAGCCGATATTCTACAGGGATACAGAAAGTAGAAAAATGAGAACATCTTTATACTTAGTGCTAATTTAAATGTTCCTTAGGCACCATTAAGAGTTGTAGACTCCATAAATAATATTAATAGGCAGAGGGCAAGTATAATAATTTGAAAAGGATTCAAAGAAAAGCCAAAAGATTAGGTCAAAAGCTGGAAAAACAATCTTTAAGAGATTATAAACTCTTCACCTTAGAAAAAAATGAAGAAAAATGTAGAAAAAAATAAGGCAATTCATTGTAAGCAAATTAAATAAAGCACAATTAAAAGAGGAAAAGGTTAATTATTAGTTTTTATTTATTTATTTATTTATTTTATACTCCTGATTTTTTCTTTTCTTTTTTTCTTTCTTTTTTTAACTTTAAGTTCTGGTATACGTGTCCTGAAAGTGCAGGTTTATTACACAGGTATACATGTGACATGGTGGTTTGCTACACCTATCAACCTGTCATCTAGGTTTTAAGCCCTGCATGCATTAGGTATTTGTCCTAATGCTCTCCCTCCCATTTTTCCCAACCCCACAAAAGACCCTGGTGTGTGATGTTCCCCTCCCTGTGTCCATGTGTTCTCATTATTCAACTCCCACTTATGAGGGAGAACATGAGTTGTTTGGCTTTCTGTTCCTGTGTTAGTTTGCTGAGGATGAGGGTTTCCAGCTTCATCCATGTCCCTGCAAAGGACATAAACTCATTCCTTTTTATGGCTGCATAATATTCCATGATGTACATGTGCCACATTTTCTTTATCCAGTCTATCGTTGATGGGCATTTGGGTTAGTTCCAAGTCTTTGGACTTAGTAGAATGATTTATAATCCTTTGGGTGTATACGCAGTAATGGGATTGCTGGGTCAAATGGTATTTCTGGTTCTAGATCCTTGAGGAATCATCACACTGTCTTCCACACTGGTTTAACTAATTTACACTTCCACCAACAGTGTGAAAGTGTTCCCATTTCTCCACATCCTCTGCAGCATCTGTTGTTTCTTGACTTTTTAATGATTTCCATTCTAACTGGCATGAGATGGTATCTCATTGTGGTTTTGATTTGCATTTCTCTAATGACCAGGGATGATGAGCTTTTTTTCATATGTTTGCTGACCACATAAATGTCTTCTTTTAAAAAGTGTCTGTTCATATCCTCACCCACTTTTTGATGGGGTTGTTTGTTTTTTTTCTTGTAAATATGTTTAAGTTCTTTGTAGATTCTGGATATTAGACTTTTGTCAGATGGATAGGTTACAAAAATTTTCTCCCATTCTGTAGGTTGCCTGTTTACTCCGATAGTTTCTTTTGCTGTGCAAAAGAAGCCCTTTAGATTAATTAGATCCTATTTGTCCATTTTGGCTTTTGTTGCCATTGCTTTTGGTGTCTTAATCATGAAGTCTTTGCCTATGCCTATGTTGTCCTGAATAATATTGCCTAGGTTTTCTTCTAGGGTTTTTATGGTTGTAGGTTTTACGTTTAAATATTTAATCCATCTTGAGTTCATTTTTGTGTAAGATGTAAGGAAGGGGTCTAGTTTCTGTTTTCTGCATATGGCTAGCCAGTTTACCCAGCACCATTTATTACATAGGGATTCTTTCCCCATTGCTTGTCAGGTTTGTCAAAGATCAGATGGTTGTAGATGTGTGGTGATATTTCTGAGGCCTCTGTTCTTTTCCATTGGTCTATATATCTGTTTTGGTAGCAGTACCATGCTGTTTAGGTTACTGTAGCCTTGTAGTATAGTTTGAAGTCAGGTAGCATGATGCCTCCAGCTTTGTTCCTTTTGCTTAGGATTGTCTTGGCTATACAAGCTTTTTTGTTTTGTTTTGTTTCATATGAAATTTAAAGTAGTTTTTTCTAGTTCTGTGAAGAAAGTCAATGGTAGCTTGATGGGAACAGCATTGAATCTAGAAACTACTTTGGGCACTATGGCTATTTTCATGATATTGATTCTTCCTATCCATGAGCATGGAATGTTTTTCCATTTGTTTGTATCCTCTCTTATTTTCTTGAGCAGTGGTTTGTAATTCTCTTGAAGAGGTCCTTCATGTCCCTTGTAAGTTGTATTCCTAGGTATTTTATTCTCTTTGTAGTAATTGTGAATAAGAATTCACTCATGATTTGGCTCTCTGCTTGTCTATTATTGGTGTATAGCAATGCTTGTGATTTCTGCACATTGATTTTGTATCCTGAGACTTTGCTGAAGTTGCTTATCAGCTTAAGGAGATTTTGGGCTGATATGATGGGGTTTTCTAAATATACAATCATGTCATCTGCAAGTAGAGACAATTTGACTTCCTCTCTTCCCATTTGAATATGCTTTATTTCTTTCTCTTGAGGCTAATTATTTTTAATGAGCCAGAACTTTGCCACATTCCCTCTAATGACCTCAATTATGGCAGAGCTTTTTTATGAAATGGCTTTTCAAAGACTAAAATGGGAGACTTGAAATTAAAAAATGAGTGAAAAGTGTATTTAAAAGCCTTTTTTCAGCTAAAAAATGGGCAGTGTCCGATTTAAAATAGGACATACTGCACATGTCTGTGTTTCTGATTCTGCAACATTTTTTGTGCTTCCATGTTAGCCTCATTATTCCTTATGAAGGATATAAAACTTATAATTCCAGTCTCAAACACAGATGAGTCCTTATTACCTGCTTCTGAGAAGTTCTGACTAGATTCTGATTCATATTGACATGCTTGGCATCTCACACTCATATGGTCACCCTGAAAAAGAAAAAAGGACCCCTCCCATTCCAAATTGGGTTCAGATGTTGAGACTGAGGATACAACACACATACTAAGATGCCATGACGATGTTTATTACTTGCGTAATTAAAGTCTATGGAGAGAGCAGGACAAACTTCTCAAGCATGTCCAAAATGGCTTGAGAAATAAACACATTGTGGCAAATACATTATTTCACCTTGCCTGCCTGTATCAAAATATATTATGTACCCCATAAATATATACACCTACTATGTACCCACAAATTTTTTAAAAAAATAAAATAAAAAAAGGCTTGAGAGAGCAAGAAGAGAATTCCCCGTGGTTAGGGGCTGGGGCTGGGTTGAGAGTCCCTGCCTGCAGGCAGGGCTTGTATGGCTTAAATGCCTCTAAAGGAGTGGGTCTTATCAGCCAGCACAGATGTGAGGCACAAGGGAGAAGTAAGCTAAAACCTGTCAGCAAATATCAGAAAATGGAGTTAGATTCACCACTACAGAGACCCTGTCTCTATGTGAAAATAAACTTTAATGATATTATCAAAAATATAGAAGTCATTATACTAATCTTTGATCCCATCTATATAACACCTCAATTTTCATACCTTACTCCAAAGAACAGTTTTGCTGTCCCCTTGCTTGTGCTTTTACTACTAAATCATTAAAATATAACCCATGCACAGAAAAATTTGCCCAAGAAATTTTATTATTGGCATGCTATAGTCAGTTTATTCATTCACTTAACTATTTATTGGTCCTTTTCTGTTTCTTTAATTAAGCTAGGCATATTGTAGAGTGAG
The DNA here is from genome assembly GCF_000001405.40 of Homo sapiens. Lineage (NCBI taxonomy): Eukaryota > Metazoa > Chordata > Mammalia > Primates > Hominidae > Homo > Homo sapiens. The sequence goes on from NC_000006.12 coordinate 49,011,695, forward strand.
AGATGAGCAGAAGTTAAAGTTACAGAGGTAGACATGACTGCATAGAATACTAACAGGCTGAGATTTTATGTGTTAAATTTTTCAAGTTAAAGATAATTTTTAGGACAAGAATGCCATAATCATATTTAGAAACAGGAAGTTTAGTATGATAACGACAGGAAGAAGCATTAGCAAAAGCTAAGAAGAAAGAGCAGACTTAGAATAAGAAGAATCTATAAGATAATAATGAACAAAAACTTTATTTTGGAAATAAAAATAATAGAATCATGAAGAGGAGAAAGCATTTGACTCTGGGCTAAATTACTTGGCTATTGTTATACATAATTTGTTATATATACTAAGTATGTGTGTGTGTGATATGTATATTTATGCATACATGGATATCTATAAATATATACTTATTTCCAAAGCTCTCTTGACTCAGTTTTGAGGCCCTGGTAGAGGCCTATTAGTTCTTCCTGTGCAGTTCATTAAGTCCACACTCTGATCACTCCTCTCATTAGGCTTTCTCACTTTGACCACTATTCACCATCCCTAATCTTCCCAGGGCCAAGTACCAGAAAACTGGGGACAGCCTCTATGACTAGAGCCTGCAATATTATTCAAATAAGCAAGCTCACAAGCAGCCTCAAAAACCTAGCTAACTCTGTGTTGATTGATCTGCATAGGTACCCACTGATTTCAATTTGCTGTTACCCTTTCCCCACATGCAACTCTCTGTGTGGCGCTACTTGGCAACTTTCTTTTTTCTTTTCTTTTCCTTTTTTTTTTTTTTTTTTTTTTTTGATAGAGTTTCGCTCTTGTTGCCCAGGCTGGAGGGCAATGGCGCAATCTTGGCTCACCACAACCTCTGCCTCCCGGGTTCAAGCGATTCTCCTGCCTCAGCCTCCTGAGTACCTGGGATTACAGGCATGCACCACCATGACCAGTTAATTTTGGTATTTTTAGTAGAGACGGGATTTCTTCATGTTGGTCAGGCTCATCTCAAACTCCTGACCTCAAGTGATTTGCCTGCCTTGGCCTCCCAAAGTGCTGAAATTACAGGCATGAGCCATCGTGCCTGGCCAGCAACTTTCTTTCAGTTGGAGCTGTAAGCACCAAAGAGTTCTGCCTTTCATCTGTCTGAGTGTCAGTTTGCTGTGTTCTGCCAACAAAAGAATCTTTAACTCTTATAAAACAGCCATTTACCCAAGTAGGGAACTAAAGAGGGAAAAAAAGAAATAAGAAAAAGAGTATTTATTTAGTTTTTGGTCGTGTCATCTGTGAGGTATTTGTGGGCCATCCAGATGGAGATTCATGCAGTTGGATATTCAGTTCTAGATATTAAGGAATACCTGGAACTACAGAAAGAGAATTTAGAATTATTGGCCCATGGCAGTTAAAAACATGAAAATAGACATAATTTTTAGAAAATGAGTTATAAATGAAAAGAAGACAGGACTGAACATTAAATCCTGGGTGGGAAAAGCAAGAATTGGTTACATACTACATATGTCAATTAGATAATGCCATGTGCACAGCAATTCATACAGCTCTTAAAGGAAAACAAACAAGCACAGGACAAGGTCACTTAGCACCCAGATGAGCTTGTGCCTTTGTGTCAAGATGAAAAATTTGGAAAACAGGAGTCAACCCTCACCTCCAGAAAGATAACCAATATGTAAGTGTGACTTAAATGTGTTACATATGATTAAAAATGGAATTGGCCTTAGACAAGCTTTTAGAAATATGTATTGAGAAACATGTAGATTAAGCATTTACTAGAGTATTCTGAAATAGAATAGACAACTAATTGCAATTCCCCCAAGCTGCATTTAAACAACCCAGTTGTTGGAGATGAGATGCCAAATGACTGGGTTTTGATAGCACTGATGTGATGGAGAGATGGGGTTGAATGGTTCCAGGGAGCTGTCTGTGTGTGATTAAAATGAGGTATATTAGAGCTTATGCTGAATAAGCAAGAGATAGAAATCAACAAATAGGCTTCTATCTGTAGGCTAGAATAGGCTTTCCTTCCTCTATAGGAAGGAAAATGTGATATAAGATAGAATTAAGAAGGGCAATATGCCCACTCCAAATCTTGATGATTGGTGTTTAGGAGGTTTCATATCCTTTACTAGAGTGACTCTGAAAAAATCATTTCTTCAGTGGGAAGCAAAGTTTTAGTTCAAGTAAAGAAAAATATAAGGTAGAAGAAGGTTTTTATAAGATTGAGAGTATAAAACAGTTGTTCCTGGATAAATGGGAAACTATGAATGTCTAGAGGGAGTTTGGTACTGAGGAATGAGAAAGAATAGACAATTGTAGAGCTTACATTTTGTGAGAGTGATCGAGGAGAATAGGGATAAAAGATTTTGAAGAAACTAATAAGTCTCAAAATTCTAAGTACAATTTTGGTGTAAAGTTTTCCAGCTCTGAAACTACTCTAGGTCTCCAGGTAGTGGAGAGTCACTGCATGTAATCTGTAGCCACATAGGGTTTGGGAAAGTAGGAATTAAAGCAGCACTCTAACTGCTTGGGGGCTATATTAGTTCATTTTCATACTGCTATAAAGAACTGCATGAGACTGGGTAATTTATAAAGGAAAGAGGTTTAATTGACTCACAGTTACACATGACTGGAGAGGCCTCAGGAAACTTACAATCATGGTGGAAGGCACCTCTTCACAGGGCGGCAAGAGAGAGAATGAGTGTCAGCAGGGAAAATGCTAAATGCTTATAAAACCATCAGATCTTATGAGAACTCACTATAATGAGAACAGCATGAGGGAAACTGCCCCCATGATTCACTTACCTCCCATCAGGTCCCTCCAAGACACATGGATACTGTGGGGATTACAATTCAAGATGAGATTTGGGCAGGAACACAGCCAAATCTTATCAGGGGCATTGGTTATTGTCTATAGTTGACTCAAGTGTGTGTCTTTCTAGGGTCCCTGAAATGCAATACATGACTGGTAAACTTTTTTTTTCCTTATCAGTATTTTCTGCTTTGGACTGGAATATAGCATCCCAAAGCTCCACTTGAATTAAGTCACTAATGATGAGAATGCAAGGGATTAATGATGCTGTACTTGCTGCCACTGGAAGAATTAAGGGAATGATCCTGAAGAAATTATTTAAAGCAGAGCTACATCTCAGACATCCAGTATGTATTAAAAAATTGAAGTTGGGTGACAATAAATATGCCAATAAACAAATGTCTACCCATGCTAAACTTTGACCCTAGTTAAAAAATGATAGTTTTTAAAGAAATGTATAAGGCCAGTAAAAATTCCTTAGAAGATGAATTAATGAATAAAAAGAAGTTAAATGACTTTATCATAAAGTAATTAATAACCAATATGCATTATTTGTAAAATGTGGGTTATTTAATAAATCAAACTGAAGTAACTATCAAACTTTAGAAATTTTTCATCACATGCTTAACAAATTATTAAATTTAAGGCATTAGAGTGAATAGGCAAACTTAAAACTCATTAAGCTCCATAATTCTATAATCCAATAAATTAATTCTGCAAATCCGCACAATATAAAAATAGTACCTATGTGATAAAATAACACAAAAATAAGGATACAACTAGATTTATAGCATAATAATTATTCATTATATTATAAGACTCTCTCAATGTAGAGAAATTCCTAAGAAAGCTGTACAACTATTCCTGAGAATCAGGTAAGGATCAAAATTGTAAATTGGTTTAAACTTCGTATTTTAATAGGAAATAACTGGACGACAGGACTCAAATACCTGACTTCTAATACTGTTATCTTTCCTAATACAATTATATGTATACTTCAAAATAAATCAGTTGGCCTACCAGTAGCTTTAATATTTTCCTGAGCTATAAATATTTTTAACTTCCTCTTTCAATCATTATTTTCATTTAACCACCTTTTATGGAGCAAAAGTGGTCTTCCTAGCACAAATGCTAGCCTTGGGATCGTAAAGATGACTAATAGATTCTGCCCTCACTGAGCTGGAAGTCTGGAAAAGATAATAACAGATTTATAAATGTAGTTCTATGTTAAAAAATCAACAAATTAAGCATATATAACAGATAACTGAGGGTAGTGGACAACTCTACTTGGTAAAATGAGAAAAATCTTAATAGAGAAGGGGCTACTTGAATGAAATGTGATCAAAGTGAGCAAAACTGATCAGCTGCAGTGATAGTGTGTAAGTTGGTTGTGGGTTTGTTTGGGAAGCTTGAAGGTAGAGAAAATCTGTTGGATGGCCATTGTAGTTGTCTATGAAAGCATTTTTAAAGATTTTGTTATCTTCACGTTTACAATACTTCAGTGGTTTCCCAAAACCAATGAAAGAAGAGTAATCCTTTTTATGACAACGTGCCAGCTTCTGAGTCTGAAAACCTACCTTGCCAGTGTAAACTCTCAACACAATGGCCCTCAAACATCTTACTATCACAATAACAAAATACTTTTTCTTCAAAACCTAATACATAGATTCAATTCAACCTATAACATGTAGATAAATATTTCCTATATGTTATAGGTTGAATTGAGTCTCTTTTCCAAAATACATGTTGAAGCCCTAACCACCCGGACCTTGGAATGACTTGAAAATAGGGGCATTGTGGATACAATTAGTTAAGTTAAGATGGAGTTTACTGGATTAACATAGACCCTTAACCCAATACAACTGGTGTTTTTATGAAAAAATGGCCACATGACACAGAGAACAAGCAGAACATCAGGTGATAATGTAGATGGGGATTGGTAAGTCAAGGAACATCAATATTTCTGACAATAATAGAAGCAAAGAAAAAGGTAAGGAGCAGATTATCTTGTAGAAGCTTGGAGAGAGCTGGCCTTACCAAGACCTTAATTTTAGACTTCTAAACTCAAAAACTGTGAAAGAACATATTTCTGTTGTTTTAAGCCCTGTAGTTTGTGGGATTTTGTTCAAGCAGCCCTAGGAAAGTAATTCGCTATCCTAACGCAACAATAAATATAGAACCCAATATAATAGAGCAAAAATTTGAACAAACTCTTCACACACACATTTATACCAATGGTCAATATGTGCATTAAAAGATACTAAACATTACTGGTATCAAGAAAATATCAGTTAAAAACCAAAGCAACATACCACTATATCTCCACTTGAATGGCTAAAATGTAATAAGATTTAAAATACCAAATGTTAGAGAAGATGTTGTAAAACCAGAAATTGCCAACATATCTGAGAGAAGGTAAAATGTTACAACTTCATTGGTAAAGAAACTTGTCAGTTACTTAAAATTGTTAAATATCAGCTTTAATTATAAGAGGCAAAAACTGCAAACGATGCAGCTATCCATCAACAGGAAAATTGATAAACTGTGTCACTGTCACAAAATAAAATACCACTCCAAAATTAAAAGGAGTAAACTACTGATGCATGCAACACCAATTGATCTCAAGAGTATTATGCTGAGTAAAAGGAGCTAGACACAAGAAGTGTATACTACATGATTCTATGTACATGAAATTGCAGAATCAGGAAAACTAATCTTTGTTGATAGATAACACATCAGCAGAGGAGCAGATTAGTGGAAAGGAGGAATGAATAAATGTATTGGGGTGATGGAAATGTTCCAATCTTAATATGCAATTATCAAAATTGAATGAAAACACATTTACGATATATAAATCATGTATAAGATATATATAAGTTGTGTATAAATTACATATAAGATGAATAAATAATTAGATAAACCAAAGAATCAATAACTTTTTAAAATAAAACAAAACAAATGATAGAAAGAATTCCATTTTTTTTAAAAAAAACCTTAATTTTAGAATTCTAAACACCAGACCAGTGAAAGAGTATATATCTCTCTGTTGAATAAAAGCAAGATTATGTCCAAAGGTGCTAAAATTTTTAAATAAAGAAAATTTTCTGGTTTATAGTGAATTATAAATTACAAGCCTTTGTGAAGTGAGTTTTTTTATGAATTAGGAAGTTTTAAGATGGCCCTATGAAAAGAAATTTTTTCCTATGTTTGCCTAACATAAACATAACTGTCACAAGACATATAAATATGATAAAGTGGGTTTTTTTTTTTTGCACATGCTAGGGGTAAAGGAAGAAGAAAGATTGATGTTCTTAAGAGAAAGAAATCATTAAGTATTTAGAAAACTGGAAAAGGATTCAAGAAGAAAATGTACACTGGTAGAAATCAAAAAAAGCAAAAATGAAGAAAGAGTACTTGGCAAGTGTTCACCCTTATTATAGATTTTCATTCATAATGAATATAACATTTTGGGAGAACAGTGAATAGACCAGTTTCACTGAGGTAAGAGATTTGTCAAAAGAAGTAATTGAACAAAACATTTAAACAATACAATAGAGTGAAACTTTAGGGAATCAATTATCAAAATATAGAGTTTGGTCATCTGAGGGGCAGTGAAAAATTATTGAGGATTTTTAACAGAAATGATTGTTATAAAGTATTATTTTAGGATGGTAAACTAATTTATAAATGTGAAATTATTTTGTATCAGGCACTACTCTATTAATTTTGGAAATGTAGATAATGACAGAGACTTTTGACTTGACCAAATAATACCTAATATAATATAAAGTAATTTATATTCCTTAGCTAAAGACAGATGATCATTATATTAGTCCATCCTTTTGATTTGCTACTGTATGTTGATTAAGTTTAGGTGTCAATTTTACTAGATCAAGGGATAATCAGATATCTGATAAAATATTTTTCTAATTATGTCTGTGAGGATGTTTCCATGATAGATTTGTATGTTTTTTTACTTTTTGGGTTTTGTTTTGTTTGTTTTACATACAGTATCATTTTATTCACATGAATTTCTAGAATGGGCAATCAAATATATGCTAAAAAATAAAAATAAAACTTGGCTTCTCCTTATAGGGCATTAGTATGGAGCAGGGGAACTTTCTGGGGTGACGAAAATAGGCTGCATCTTAATACAAATGTGGGAAACACTGGAGTATCTATCCATTAAAGCTATATCATTAGGAAGTATGCATTTTAGTGGATATATGCTACCTTTCAAACCAAAACTTGTGAGAAAAGAAAGAATTGTGTTTTCATCTATTTGGTCTCAGTCCAGCTGGGTGGTCATTGTATCTGTGGGAGTCCATATCTTCCATGTTGGACATTATGAACATAACAGTTTCTCTATACAAGGGGTTTGGCTTTCCAGATGAATTAATAAATGCAATGTTCCTGTCGCAGCCACTCTGTGTGTGCCATTGCCACAAGTCTGGAGTGGCCTGCCTTTACACAGAAACCACTGATCTGGATGGTCAGGCTCTCAGAATGGTCACTTTGTAAAGGCCCATCGTCCTGCCATTGTTGTAAGGCAATGGGTCTGTCCTTAGTAGTCAGAGCATCTTAGACATCCATCCATGTTACAGGTGTGCAGAGAGCTCCTGAGTGTGGTTGAAATATCGCCTTTACTTATATGTATCATTCGTAGGATAAATGAAGTTATCTTCCTCCAAGCACCCATCCAGTTGGGAATGGACTTAAGGGTGCAAGCCTATCAGCAATGTCTGGGCAGTTCATGGCATTTGGGAGACTTGAACTTCAATGCCTACGAGGTGGGATCATGTGCTCTCCAGGTTGCCATAGCTGTGGGTGCCCTCTGTCATCTGATTTCTGCCTTGCCGTTTCCTTCCTGCTTCACTCAAGAATCCTTCCAAGATGACTCTGAAGGGAAGCTTCTAAGTTTGTCCTCCAGCCCAAAGGAAGTCTGAAAATTCAGAAGACAATTAAAAGAAGTCCATAATTAAACTGTATTAAGTGATGAAGTTGACATAGCTTATGCAGTGGTACATATATTCTGAAATCAAAGATGTGAAGAGAAAGATTTGACCTGTCTTTCATGATGCCAATGGAGTATATTATTATTTTTTATTTATTTATTTTTCAAATTTTAGTTTAGATTGAGGAGGTACATGTGCAGGTTTATTACCTGGGTATATTGTATGATGCTGAGGTTTGGGGTGCAAATGATTCCATCACACAGGTACTGAGTGTAGTACCCAATAGTTAGTTTTTTAACTCTTGTCCTCCTGTCTTCCTCCATTCTTTAGTAGTCACCAGTGTCTATTGTTGCCATCTTCTGTCCATGAGTAACTGATGTTTAGCTCCCACTTACAAGTGAAAACATGCAGCATTTGGTTTGCTGTTACTGCATTAATGCCAATAGTATAATGGCCTCCAGCTGTATCCATGTTGTTGCAAAGGATATAATTCCTTTACTTTGTGTGACTGTGTAGTATTTCATGGTGTGTGTGTGTATATATGTATATATATATATATACATATATACACACACACACCATATATATATATATATACACACACCATATATAGATATACACACACCATATATAGATATATATACACCATATATAGATATATATATACACACCATATATAGATATACACACCACATACAGATATATATATCTCTCACATATATATACACATATATATACACCATGTGATATATATCTCTGAGATATATATATCTGAGATATATATCTCTGAGATATATATATCTGAGATATATATCTCTGAGATATATATCTCTCTCACATATATATATCTCTCATATATATATCTCTCTCACATATATATATCTCTCATATATATCTCTCACATATATATCTCTCATATATATCTCTCACATATATATATCTCAGATATATATCTCTCACATATATATATCTCACATATATATACACACCATATATAGATATATATACACACCATATATATATATATACACACCATATATATACACACCATATATAGATACATATATATTTCACATATATCTCTCACATATATATCACATATATATATCTCACATATGTGTGTGTGTGTGTGTGTATATGTGTGTGTATATATATATCACATTTTATTCACTCAGTCCACTGTTGATGAGCACCTTGGTTGACTCAGGTCTTTGCTATTGTGAATACTGCTGTGATGAATATGCAGCTGCATGTGTCTTCTTGGTAGAACAAATTTCTGTCTTTTGGATATTTATGTGTTTTGGCTGTGTCTCCACACAAATTTCATCTTGAATTGTAGTTCCCATAATCCCCACATGTTGTGAGAGGGACCCACTGGGAGGTAATTTAATCATGGGGGCAGCTACCCCCATGCTTCTGTTCTTGTGACAGTGAGTGAGTTCTCACAAGATATGATGGTTTTATCACGAACTTTTCCGTCTTTTGCTAGGTACTTCTCCTTCCTGCCATCATGTGAAGAAGGATGTGTTTTCTTCCCCTTCTGTCATGATTGTAGGTTTCCTGAGGCCTCCCCAACCATGTGGAACTGTTAGTCAATTAAACCTCTTACCTTTATAAATTATCCAGTCTCAGGCAGTTCTTTATAGCAGAGTGAGAATGTACTAATACAGATATATACTCAGTAATGGGATTGCAGCATCAAATGATATTAATATTTTAGTTTTAGGCTTTTTGAGAAATCTCAAAACTGTTTTCCACAGTGGCTAAACAAATTTACATTCCTGCCAACAGTGTGTAAGTGTTCCCTTTTCTCTGCAGTCTCATCAGCATTATCTGCAGTTTTTCTGACTTTTTAATAAGAGACATCCTGACTGGAGTGAAATGGTATCCCACTGTGGTTTTGATTTGCATTTCTCTGATGATTCGTGATGTGGAACTTTTTTTATATATTGGTGGCCCACTTTTATGTATTCTTTAGAGAAGTGTCTGATTATACCTTTTGCCAATTTTTAATGGAGTTTTTTTATTTATTCACTTGTTTAAATTTCTTATAGATGCTGGTTATTATATGTTTGTCAGGTGTGTAGTTGGCAAATATTTTCTAGCATTCTGTAGGTTGTATATTTATTCTATTGATAGTTTATTTTGCTGAGCAGAAGCTTTTAGTTTAATTTGGTCTCACTTCTCTATTTTGTTCTTGTTGAAATTGCTTTTAAGGACTTAGTCATAAATTCTTTCCAAGACAAATGTCCAGAATAGTGTTTCCTAAATTTCCTTCTAGAATTCTTATAATTTGAGGTCTTCCATTTAAATATTTAATCTCTCGAGTTCATTTTTGTATAGGGTGAAATATAGGGGTCCAATTTAAATCTTCTGCATATGCCTAGCAAGCTATTCCACCACTGTTTATTGAGTAGGGAGTCTCTTCCCCACTGCTTATTTTTGTCATTTTCAAAAAATATCTGATAGCTTTATTGTGGTTTCTCTATTCTGTTCCAGTGGTCTGTGTGCCTATTTCTGTACCAGTACCAGGCTGTTTTGGTTACTGTAGCTTTACAGTATAGTTTGAATTCAGGTTATGTGATGCTGTTTTTGTACCAGTGCCAGGCTATTTTGGTTACTGTAGCTTTACAGTATAGAGTGAAGTCAGGTAATATGATGCCTCAGATTTTGTTCTTTTTGCTTAAGATTGCTTTGACTATTCAGGCTGATTTTGGGTTCCATATGAATTTTAGAATAGTGTTTTGTAGTTCTGTGAAAAATGACATTGGTAGTTTGATAGGAATAGTATTGAATCTGTGGATTGCTTTGGGCAATATAGATATTTTAACAATATTGATTCTTCCAATCCTTGAGCATGGAATGATTTTCTATTTGTTTATGTCATCTATGATTTCTTTTAGCAGTGTATTGCAGTTCTTCTTTTAAAGATCTTTCACCTCCTTAGTTATATGTATTCCTAGGTATTTTTTTTGCAGCTATTGTAAATGGAATTGTGTTATTGATTTGGCTCTCATCTCTCATTTTTATATACATACTCTATTTGTTTATAAAAGTGATGCTGATTTTATAATCTGCAACTTTAATGAAGTTGTACTGATCAGTTCCAGCAGCCTTTTGAGGGAGTCTTTAGGATTTTCTAGGTACAGAATCGTATCATATGTGAAGACAGCTAGTTTGAGTTCTTCTTATCCTTTTTGCATGCCTTTCATTTCTTTCTCTTACCTGATTGGTCTTGCTAACACTTCCAGTACTATGTTGAGTAGGTGTGGTAAAAGTTAGCATCAGAAATGCTTTTAGTTTTTGCCCATTCAGTATGATGTTGTCTGTGGGGTGATCATAGATGGCTCTTATTTTGAGGTATGTTCCTTCAATGCCTAGTGTCTTGATGATTTTTATCATAAAGGGATGTTGGATTTTCTGAATGCTTTTTCTGCATCTATATGGTTTTTGTTTTTATTCAGCTTATGTGATGAATAACATTTATTGATTTGTGTATGTTGAAATAATGTTACATCACAGGAATAAATAAAACCTGCTTGAATAAAGCCTACTTGATCATGGTGAATTAACTTTTTGGTGTGCTTTCCTACTTGGTTTGCTGGGATTTTGTTGAGGATTTTTGTCTGTGTTCATCAGGGATATTGACCTGTAGTATTCTTTTTTCATTATATATTTGCCAGGTTTTGGTATCAGAGTGACTCTGGCTTTGCGTAATGAGTTAGAGAGGAGACCCTCCTCCTTTATTTTTTGGAATAGTTTCAGTAGAATTGGTACAAGCTCTTCTTTGTATCTCTGGTAGAATTTAGCTGAGAATCCATCTTGTCTGGGTCTATTGGTAGATTTCTTATTATTGGTCCAGTTTCAAAACCCAATTGGTCTATGCAAGGTTTCAAATTCTTCCTATTGAACCTTGGGAGATTGTGTGTTATTAGGAATTTATCCATTTTCTCCAGATTTTTCTGGTTTGTGTGCATAAAGATGTTCATAATAGTCTCCAATGATCTTTTGTATTTTCATAGGATCATTTGTAATGTCATCTTTTTCATGTCTGATTGTACTTATTTGTATATTGTAGAGAGGGTCTATCAATCTTGTTTATGCTTTCAAAAAACAAACTTTTGGTTTTGTTGATTCTTTGTATAATTTGGGGGTCTTAATTTTATTCAATTCTGCTCTGGTTTGGTTATTTTATTTTTTTCCTGCTAGCTTTGAGGTTACTTTGTTCTTATTTTTTCTAATTCCCCTAGATGTGATGTTGGATAATTAATTTGAGGTTTTTCTAACTTTTTGACATAGGTATTTAATGTTACAAACCTTCCTCAACACTGTTTTTTATGTATCCCAGAGATTTTGGTATGTTGTATCTGTTTTCATTTATTTAAAATAATTTTTTAAGCTTAATTTCAATGTTAAATTTGCTGTTTATTCAAAAGTCATTCTGGAGCAAGCTGTTTAATTTTTACTATAATTAGGTGGTTCTGAGTGATCTTCTTGGTATTGATTTCTTTTTTTTTTTTTTTGCACTGTGGTCTGAGAATATGGTTTGTGTGCTTTCAATTTTTTTTTAATTAATTGAGGCTTGCTTTATGGCCAAGCATTTCGTTGATATTGGATAATGTACTGTGGGCAGATAAGAAGAATGTATATTCTGTGTTTGATGTGTGAAAAGTTCTGTAGATGTCTAATGCTGACAGAGGGATGTTGAAGTTCCTCACTATTGTTGTGTGGTCTTCTAAGTCTTTTCATAGGTCTAGAAATACTGCTTGTACAAATCTGGGTGCTGCAATGTTGGGTGCATATATATTTAGGATAGTTAAGTCTTCTTATTGACTTGAGCCCTTTATCATTATGTAATGCCTTTCTTTGTCTTTTTGTTGTTGTTGGTTTACAGTCTGTTTTATCTGATATAAGAGTAGTGACTCCTGATGTTTTTTTTTTTGTTTGTTTTCTGTTTGTGTGTTAGATCTTTCTCCAACCCACTACTTTTAGTCTAGGAGTGTCAATATGTGTGAGATGGGTCTCTTGAAGACAGCAGATGCATGAGTTTTTTTTTTTTTTAATCTAACTTACCATTCTACCTTTATGTTGGGTGTTTAGAGCATTTACATCCAAATTTAATATTAATATGTGAGGTTTTGATCCTATTATGAAGTTGTTAGCTGGTTGCTTTGTAGTTTTTACTGTGTTGTTGCTTTATAGAACCTGTGAGCTATGTACTTAAGCAAGTGTTTCTGGTAGCAGGTACTGTTATTTTGTTTCCATCTTTAGAATTCCCTTAAGAGTCTCTTGTAAGGCCGGCCTAGAGGTAATAAATTTCCTTAGTCCTTGCTTGTCTGGAAAAGATTTTATTTGATTTTTGCTTATAAAGCTTAGATGGCAGGTTATGAAATTTTTGGTTGGAATTTCCTTTCTTGAAGAATGCTGAAAATATGCTCCCAGTCTTTCCTGACTTGTCAGGTTTCTGCTGAGAAGTCTGCTGTTAGCCTGATGGGATACCCTTTGTATATCATCTGCCCTTTTTCTCTAGCTGTCTTTAAGATTTTTTCTTTAACGTTGACCTTGGACAGTCTGGTGAGCGTATGCCTTGGTGATGTTTATTTTTTATAGAATATTGCAGGTGTCTCTGGATTTCTTGTATCTGAATGTTTACCTCTCTAGCAAAATTAGAAGATTTTTAAAAATTGTTTCCTTAAATATGTTTTCCAGGGTGTTTTCCCTTGCTCATTCTCTCTCTTGAATGCCAATAATATGTATGTTTGATTGCTTTATATAATCTGATATTTCTCAAAGACTTTGTTCATTAAATTTATTTTTTTTATTTTTACCCGACTTAGTTCAAAATAAATTTAATGAACAAAGATGGAGATTGCCCTCCTGCACCAGAATCTTTGCACAGGAATGCTGGGGCACCTCAGGCTACAAATCCAGGTGAGCTGGTACTCTGAATACCTGGAGATTTGCCTAGGCATGAAGCAGAGAGGGCCTTGCTGCATCACAATCTATATCCAGAATGTGTGGGGCAACTCAGCCTGATGAACCAGATGAATGGGTTTTCTAAATGCTTGGAAGTCTGCCTGGTTGTGAAGCAGATGTCTGCCTTTGTTGATGTTGGTTGACAGTCTGTTTTTATCTGATATAAGAATAGTGACCCCTGATCCTGCACCAGGATCTCTGCACAGGAAGGGCAGGGCAACTCAGGCTGCTAATCTAGGTGAATGGGTTCTCTGAATGCCTGGATATGTCCCTGGGCATGGGGCATAGGGCCTCCTGCACCAGGATCTCTGCATAGAGGGGGTGAGGTGACTGAGGTTGCTAAACCAGGCAAGCAGATTCACTGAGTGCTTAGAGATCTGCCTGAGCACGTAACAGAGAGGGCCCCCCTGCACCAGGATCTCTGCACAGAAAGGGTGGGGCTGGTCAAGCTGCTGATCCAGGTAAGCAGGTGCTCTGAATGCCTGAAGATCTGTCTAGGCATGGAACAGAAAGAGCTCTTCTGTACCACAATTATTTCCATGAAGGGTGGAGCAGCTCAGGTTGCTGGTCCAGGCAAGTAGGTGCTCCAAATACCTGTATTTCTGTCTGGAAGTGGAGTAGAGAGGGCCCTGCTGCACCAGGATCTCAGGGGAGCAGCCTGGGGAAACCAACAATGGCACACACAGACTGGTTCTAGGTTGCCAAGCTGGCTCTACCTGTAAGTTTTCTGCCCAGGAGAAACTGCAGCTGTAGCAGCTCTCCTCCCACCCCAGGCTGTGACAGGGGGAATACAATTTCAGCTCCTACTGCTGAGGCACTTTCCAAAGTTCTGGCTATGGAGGCCCCTATCCTACCCCAGAGTGGACATTCTAATCTCTGACCTGAGACAAATATGCTTTTGCAACCAGAAGAATGGGTTGCCAAAGAATGGGGTCACCAAAGAATGGCTGACTTTGTATTCACCTGGATTAAAAATGGTATCCTGCTCTCAGTCCTAGGTCTGCGCCAATGTTGCAGTTTTCCCAGTGTCTTTCCATTATAGCATCTACAAGCCTCTTCCCACACTAGCTCCAGGGCTTGTGAGAAACAAAATGTTCTCCCTCAGCTTGGGTTGCTCGGATCCCCAGTGCAAATGTGAGTCACAGAGAAAGGCTCCCTGCATCTCTTGTGTACTGGCGCTTCACTCACTTTTGTCAGCCAGATTCCATCATAGAGACTGTTTGCCAGCAATCTCTTTCCCAAAATCTGGGTGCCCTACATGATTCTGGTGGATTCCCATATTCCTTCTTGAATTAATTGAATTTTCTTCTTGAATTTCCTTCTGTCTCTCTGAAGAATCCTGACTAATAAGCTCACAGAGTTTATCTTTATGCACTATCTTGCTACTTCCAAGTGGCAGAGGCATGCTAAAAGCCTGTAATCTACCATCAGATAGACTGCTATTTGAATCAGTGACTGAGTAATAAAGACCCACCCTCCTCCAGTTGGATGGGCAGGTACCATCCAATCTGCTGAGGGCCTAGATAGAACAAAAAGGTAGAAGAAAGGCAAATTGACCCTCTCTTTCTTTTCTGGAGCTGAGGCACCCTTCTTTATCTGCCCTTGGACATCAGAACTCTAAACTGTTTGGTCTTTGAACTCAGGACTTGCATCAGTAGCCCTGCACCCCCAGTTTTTAGGCATTTGGCCTCAGATTGAGAGTTACACTATTGACTTCACTGGGTCTTAGGCCTTCAGACTTGGACTGAGCCACACTCTACGCTTCTCTGGTTCTTCAGCTTGCAGATGGCCTGTCATGGAATATCTCGTGTGTGTGTGTGTGTGTGTGTGTATACACACACATATACATACATATATATATATTAAGGAAAGAGAGAGAGAAGAGGGGATTTATTAGGGGAATTGCCTCATATGATTATGGAGGCTGAAATGTTCCATGACATTAATGGGATATATATCCTATTAGTTCTTTCTCTCTGAAGAACCCTGACTAATACATGCTCTGTTCTCTAATCTGTATGTATCACTTTACCTGGTAGGGGCTGATTTGAAAAAAATGATCTATATTTTTAACCACATACCTGTTTCCCATATTCTTTTGTCTTCTGATCACATTAACTCTAAGTTTTAAATGATTGAAAGAAACTGCTACCAACTTTCCTTGAATCAATTTACAACTCTACTTCTGGCCATGCTGACAATGGAGGAGCATATTATAATATGCAGGGAAGTGGACACTATGAGATGAGGATATGCATTTTCTTTACACTGACCGTCAGCCACTCTACTTTTCTGCTTCCATGTTGTTTATGGGGAAAGATGTAACAACAGTTAAGTTGTCATTTGCAAGAATGGGTGCTATTTTTTAAAGTATGCAAGGTAAAGCATGCATAAGGATTCATACCATCTTAATATTGCACAATATGTCCTAATTTAAAAACTTGTTTTGGAGACAAGTTGGCAGTGCTGACAGTGTATGCTTTTTCTTTTTTAATGTTTCTAAAGAGAAGTAAAAATTTGACTGAATTAGGAGTCAATTATACTACAAAAATCAAAGGTTTGTACTACGTAGTTTGATAAATTCTTCCCATGAACATTGGTAGATATGGTGCATAATGAAATATTTTGAGCTTTCTTGTATCTTAAAATATTACTGGAAAATTATATGAGGATATATAAAAGAGTCGTCACAGGAAAAAAAAAGTCCTTTTTATTTATTTATTTATTTTTTCTAAAGGAGTAGCAGTGAACTTAAAGTAAGGGTGATATTTGTTTCCTTCCAATCTTGAGATTTTCTCATTCTAAGGCATGAAAGCATGGATAGTATAAAGTTTGTATGATAAAAGTTGTAAAGGCATTTACTTCATTCTATCTGTCATTATCCTAATGTGTTATCTTGTCTTATTCCTTTGATGACTATATAAATTAACATTTATTTAAAAGCTACTTGGCCATATACCATATGGTAAATTTTTGAAAACATTGTCTCTAGTCTTTAAAATGACTCTTAAAGATACGTCATATCATTTCCATTGTCCAGTTGAGAAAACCACATTCAGAGATGTTGAGTCTTTGTCTAACATCTGAACATCTGAAATAAGGCATGGTGCTGGAATAGGATCCTGTAATTCTGGAATTCTAATTTCTGTTCCCTCTGCATAGCCTAGACCCTCTTAGATAGGTTTTGTTCTCTTCATTTATCTCTAAATCACCTGGAAAAATGCTCTCGGTATAGCAGGTGGTCAGTGAACATTTATCTTGCATGAACTTGGTGGGGAAATGTAGTTATACAACCAAGACTTATGGGTTCTGTCATAATAGTTCTGTCCCTTATCAACTGTAAAAATATATCATTATCCCATGGATTGTTTCAATTTCCCCAATTATAAAATGAGAATTTAAAAATGATCAGAATTAAGAGATAGCATGTAGTGTAAAAGACTCTACAGGTAGTGTAAAGCCACTCTATATTCACTCATAATGCCACTTTTCTGGCCAGCTCCAATACAGCACAGAACCCACCAGGCACATTGACTCATCCTTCTAAACTTCTTCAGTGGGGTAAAATTTTTTATCCATTCTTTTTACATCTGTTCATAGAATGGCAGCTGCAGGGAGTTTTCTATAACTGTGGTGGGATGAAATACAGGGATTAGATCTAATCTGTTACATAGGCCCTAGCCTAACATTTGTGTGTGTGTGTGTGCTCTAATCTGTACTTTTGGTAATTCCCACAGGCAGTAGCATATCAATGAGTTTCATACCATCTTCTCTGTTGCTATTTGTTTTTTTGTTGTTGTTGTTTTGTTTTGTTTTGTTTTTTAGTTATTGGCAAATGCTTCTTACCTCAACCCCAGAAGCATGTTCTTAGGCTTGCCAAAAATATTAAATGCCTGGGCAATTTTATGGGATAATAGAATCTGTGTTCTCTCATTTTGATTCTATAAAAGCAGCAAGTGGCTTGCCTGAGCTATATATTGTATGATGCATGGGGATGCTCAGGGTCCTATAATCAGAGTATATAGGGATGGTCTAGATGGCCATCCCCTGTGACTAGAATGAAAGACAGGAGTTACAAGGGCAAAGTGACCTACGGGAAATTTGGATTTCTAAATTGCTTACCAAAATGCCTCCAAAAGGTGGTGTATCTATTAAGGGAGGCTGAGAATATACTGAGGGAGAAATTTAACACTTTATATAGTGAAGACCAAGAAAAGCATCAAGCTTCCTAATGCAACCTTGCATGGTGACTTTAAAATTCTTTTTGGGAAAAATGGCTAGAGAATTAAATGTTTATTGAAAATACCCTCCTTTTATATGGTTTCGTATCTTTTCCTAACCCTGCGCACTTACATTCTTGACTGTGATACAACATATATGGTTAAAATGTTTTATCTCATAAGGTTAATTTTCGAGATGTGAAACTCTGTTGGATATTACTGTGCATATGCTAGAAACCCCAGGGTTTAAGGTAAAAGAAGACTCTAAATTTGAAAAACTGTGGACAATAGTAGAAACACAGAGGATGATTTTGCATTCATTCCACCTTGACAGCTCCACTTTGTAGTTTTCCTCACCTTTGTGTCTGCAATTTTCATACAAATTATGTTTATTTATCAAACATTCCAGGAGATTGGTTTTTGTTCCGGAACTATGTTCATTTGATTACCCAGGAGGCATATTTTCTTTGAACACTAATTGGATCCCCTAGTAAAGATACTAGTTTTATTTTCATATTCCTAAAATGTTAAGCTTCAGGGCATTATGATCATGCAGTCTTTTTGAATCCAATGGTTAAGTTATTTATTTCCATACTATAATTTTTTTAGCTATTGTGGAAGAAAATTTGTTTCTGAGCTAGTTAAAACAAATGTTAAATTAAATATAAACAACATTAATTATGATCTACTTATGCTTTCCAGGCAGGAGTCAAAAATCACATGTGATTTAGAATGTGTTACATAAATGAATGAAATGGTCTCCAGGAATGCAATAAGTAGCTGTGAGACTGGTGAATTGAAGAATGCATGACCTGTCTAACAGTATTAAAAAATATGTGAATAAGCCACTCTGCCAGACAAACAAAATCCATAGATAAGCTGAGAGATGCAGAAGGGACAGGAGGAAGGAGCTCTATTTCTCTCTGTGGAAGGGAACGCTGACATGAGGAAAAATAATCATGGTCAGCATTGACTATGACTTCACTTAGAGCTCTAGGCAGTAGGGAACAAGTGAAGATACAGATCTAACAAAATAAGGCCTAGGGAATGCAAATGAAGCAATTTATAACTAGTGATTGGTTAAAATTGGCTTACTGACCCTGTAGTAACATCAATCCAAGTAAGTACTTTTTTATTCTCATTATGGAGAAGATGTGAGTCAGTGCTTGTTAGTGGTTCAGACCACAAGCTCTAAAGCTTTGCTGTTTAAGATCAAGGACTCTTTCTGCTCCATGTGAGGTATGAAAATGTGGGCATGTTACCAGAACTCACTGCCCTTCAGTTTGCACATCTGTACAATAGGGATAATAATAGTACTTACATCAATGGTTACTTTAAAAATAAAATGACTTTATATACTTAAAAGGGCTGGCACATATTATTGCACAAACATTTGTTATTACAAAATAATTGTCAAACAACAAGCATAACCTCATTCAATTCTAATTGTGACTGGTTTTAGCTTTTTTTTCTACTTACTTGAAGATATACTATAGATTCTATTCTCTAGATTTCAGTAAAGCGGTAAATAATCATACCTTTTATTTCATATAAAGTCAAAGATTATTAGAGCCACTAGGAAATTTAACAATCCCAATTCCAACTTTGATTTTCTAAGTTAAAATTATGTCTAGAAAGAAAATGCCTTATAGTCATATAGTCATACTGTGTAAAAAAAAAAAAAATGGCTACAATTCCTATCTTCTGTGAACAAGCTTGAAGATTTTCCTGAGACTCTCTCTGTATTGTATATGAAATGAAACATGTTAATTTATTCCTGATATTAGTGATTAGTGAGCTAAAAATTGTTCCTCTATTTTCAATGAAACTAGTTCATATAGAGAGATCTACCACAGGCATGAAATATAGGAGAAAGGTTTTGTGATTTACTTAGTATCAAGGCAGTAATTTCCTCCAGTTAACAGCTAACACGTTTTATCCTTTGTGGAAACAGGTGCCTTTAGATGAGATCCTTTTAAATTCAGGGGCTGTCTGACAGAAAAGAAGGGGAAGATCCTCTACAACGTTGATGCCAGGAAAGCAACCTCATCTCCTGAGCTTTATATGCAGTTGTAAACACATTGTCTTCCTGCAGCTGGAAGGAAGTATGTGTAATAAGAATAAAGCCTTTAACAAAACACAATTTACCTGGCAGGAGAAGTAGAAATTCAGGTATAAAGAAGAGTAATGCTATAAGACAATAATTCTCAATCCTAACTGCACACCACAATCACCTGGAAAATTCTTAAAACTACTGCTTCTCAAATACCACCACAGAGATTATGATGAATATATTCCAGGGTTATGGCCAAAACAAAAGTATTTTTAAGTTTCATGATGGACTCTAATGTAAAAGTAAGAGTTAAGCACCATGAACCTAATAGTAATTTTCTGTCTGAACTTCTACTGGAACGGCCCCTTCTCTCATTACCATTGTTTTATTCAAATAACCTATGTACACTAGCAATGAACAATCTGAAAAAGAAATCAAGAAAATAATTTTATTTGTATTGGCATCAGAAAGGGTAAAATACCTAGAAATAAATGAAACCTAAGATGTGAAGGATTTGTACATTAAAAACTACAAAACATTGCTTTAAAGTAATTAAATAAGACACATAAATAGAAAGGCATCCCAATTTTATGGTTTGGAAGAACTAATATTGTTAAGATGGATATGCTATCCAAGCCAATCTAGAGACTCATTGTAATGCCTATCAATGTTTCACCAGCCCTCTTTTTATTGCAGAAATAGGAAATCCAATTCTCAAATTCATGTAAAATTTTCATAGCCAAAAAAAATATATAGAAAAAGAACAAAGTTGGAGGGCTACACTTCTCAATTTCAAAACATACTACACTACAGTGATCAAAACAGTGAGGAACTGACATAAAGATAACTATATAGACCTATAGTATAGAAATTAGAGTTAGTGAATAAATTCATGTATCTATGGCCAATTGATTTTTGGTAAATGTGCCAATACCATTCAATAGGAGAAATTATATTCTCTTCAACAAATGGTATTCACATAACTAGCCAACAAGTGCCAGAGAATAAAATTGGAAAGTTACCTTAAAGCATATAGAAAAATTTACTCAAAGTGGATCAGGGATCTAAATGTAAGAATTAAGCTCATAAAGCTCATAAAAAGAAACATAGGAATAAATCATCACGACCTTGGATTTGAAATGGATATTTAGATACAACACTGATAACATATGAACAAAATAAAATAGATAAATCGGACTTCATCAATATTAAAAACTTTTGTGTATCAAATATATTATTAAGAAAGTAGAAAAACAACCTAAAAATGAGATAAAATATTAGCAAATCAAGTATCTAATAAGAGTGTAGTATCCAGAATATAGAAAAAAAATACAAGTCAATGAGAGAAAGATAAACAATGCCATTATAAGATAAGCAAAGAACTTGAATAGACATTTCTCCAAAAAGTATATTTAAATTGTCTACAAATACATTTAAAAAATGCTCAATATCATTAGTAATTAGAAAAATACACTTCAAAACCACAATGTGGTACCACTTCACACTCACTAGAGTGGTTTTAAGAAAAAAAAATAGAATATTTAAAGTGTTGGTGAAGATGTAAAGAAATTTAAACCCTCATACACTGATGGTAGAAATGTAAAAAGGCTTATATAGAAAACAGTTTGACTTCTCCATAAAAAGTTAAGCATAAAATTACCATAGGGTCCAGCAATTCCACTCATATGTGTATACCCCAAAGAATTGAAACTGATACTCAAACAAACATTTTTACATGAATGTTCATAGCAGCACTATTCAGAGTATCTGCTTTGGACTAAATGTTTGTGTCTTCTGCTCCCCCAATTTATATGCTGAAACCTAGCCTCCAATGTGAGGGTAATTTGAGGTGTGGTCTTTGAGAAGCAATTAGGTCATGAGAGTGGAGCCCTCATGAAAATGATTAGTACCCTTATAAAGGTCTGAGGAGACCACAGATTTTCCCTTTAATCGCACTGAGACATCTATGAACCAAGAAAGTGGACCCTCACCAGACACTGAACTTCCTGGAGGCTTGATCTTGGACTCCACAGTCTCTAAGAGTGTAAGAAATAAACTTACATTGATTATAAGCTATCTAGTTTATGGTATTTTGTTATAGCAGCCCTAAAGGATTAAGACAATAGTCAAAAGCTGGAAACAACCTAATTTCCATTAATTGATCAATAAATACACAAAATGTGACTCATACATTCAATGAAGTATTATTTGGTCATAAAAGGAGTGAAGTACTGATACATGCAACAATGTAGATGAACCTCAAACACATTATGCTAAATGAAAGATATGAGACACAAAATGGCACATATTTTACGATTCTATTTATATGAAATACTCAGAATAGGCAAAGCAGATTCATTGCAGGGGATGGAGAAATGATGAGTGACTGCTTAATGGGTACAGGGCATACTTTTTGAGGGTGCAAGGAGTGATAAAAATAATTTGCAACTTTATAGAAGTGGTGGTTGCATAACATTGTGAATGTAGTAAATACCAATACATTCTATACTTTTAAATTTATGTATATTAATTTTGTTATGTGGATGTCACTTCAATGAAAAATAAAAAGAAATAGAGATAATAGAAATTGATGCTTGCACAATTAAAAGGGTAGTGCATGTACCCATCAACCAGACTAAAAACCTCAAGATTCACAAGACATTAGTAAGAATACACAAGGCCGGGCGTGGTGGCTCACGCCTGTAATCCCAGCACTTTGGGAGGCCGAGGCGGGTGGATCATGAGGTCAGGAGATCAAGACCATCCTGGCTAACACAGTGAAACCCCGTCTCTACTAAACATACAAAAAATTAGCCGGGAGCGGTGGCGGGCTCCTGTAGTCCCAGCTACTTGAGAGGCTGAGGCAGGAGAATGGCGTGAACCCAGGAGGCGGAGCTTGCAGTGAGCCGAGATCGCGCCACTGCACTCCAGCCTGGGCGACAGAGCCAGACGCTGTCTCAAAAAAAAAAAAAAAAAAAAAAGAATACACAAAAAGGTGTTGCCTCAGAAGTGGGGAATAATAAGCCTTATAATTAATACTTCTCTATTGCCATTTAACAAAGCGAGACCCAAATGGCATAAATTGTTTCTGAGTAATTTAATTGCAGCTTAGAGTAAAGCTCAAGAATACTTACAGGGATCTAAATAGATACAACACCCAACAAAGATAAAATTAACAATGTCTAAAATCTAATAAAAAATTACCAGCCATGAAAAGAAAGCATGACCCTTATGGAGGAAAAAAAATAAAATGAATCAAAATCGATGCAGACTGGCACAAATGTTAGAAATAGCAGACAGAATTAAAAAGTGCTATTATTATTATTATGTTAAAATGAAAAGCAATTTTAGATTAGAATAGATTTTAGATTAGATATCTAATCTAAACATTTTAATTCTGACAATATAATTGCATGTTATAACAGACTATGTTAGAATATGTGAAATAATTGTGTATTCTAACAGAATATGTTAGAACGTGCAATATGTTATAATGTGCAATTATGTTAGAATTAAAAGCTATAACTATCTTTTATACGATCAAAGAATTAAGTAGGTATAAGAAAGGACGTAAGAAAAATGCTAAATTAAACTCCTAGAGATAAAAGTGATATCGTTAGGAGACTGAGATAAAAAATGCACTAGGTAAAATTAATGGAAAATTAGATATTTCAGAGGAACATATTAATGAATTAAAAACTGAATAATAGAAACTATACAAAAACAGGGAGAAAAGCACATTTTTAAACAGTTAACTAAACATCAATGAATTAAGTGACAGTTTTACATAGCCTATATACATGTAATTGGACTACTTAAAAGAGAGAAGAGAGAAAATAATAAATATTTGAAGAAAAAAATCACCAAAAATTTTCAAATTTGATTTAAAAAGCCCACAAATGTAAGAAGTTCAATAAAACTGACACCCAAGAAATATTACAAAAATTATACCAAGGCATATGAAAATAAATTTCTAAAAAAAAAATCGATAAAATCTTAAAAGTAGCCAGAGGTAAAAGGACGTGTTATATGCAGAGGCACAAAGAAAAAGAGCTTAACAGATTTCTTATTGAGGAAAAAATAATTAAGGAGGCAATGGAGCAAAATACCTAGAGTATTGAAACAAAATTAATAACTGACAACATAGAATTCTATATCCACTGACAATATTTTTCAAGTGAAGGTAAAATAAGGACTTATCCAAACATACAAAAAATTGAATAATCGATCCCCAGCAGACTTACACTATATAAAATGTGAAAAGATGTCCTTCAAACAGAAGAAAAATTATAGCTGATAGGAATATAGATCTACACAAAGAGGTGAAGAGTACCAAAAATGACAACTGCATGGATAAATGTAAGAATTTTTTATTATTTAAATTTTGAAACATAATTGATGGTTTCAAAAAAGAATAATGTAAATATAGTTTAGGGTTTATTACATAAATAATGTAAAATATATGCTAATAAGTGCACAAAGATCAGAAGAGGAGGAGTGGGAGTGTATCATTGTAAAGTTCTTACAATTGAAGTGGTATACCATCACATGAACATAAGCTCTGGTAAGTTAAGAGCATATACTATGAAAGCATAAAGCTATAAAGTGTAAAACAACCTCTACAATAATGAAAGAGTGACAGTAAGTAAACAAAGAAGATAAAAGGAAATAATAACATGATGACAAAGCATTATACTCTCTGCAGAATGGCTAACAATAATAATTAATAATAATAATAAACTAATAACACAGAGTGCTGCAAAGAATGTGGAGCAATAGGAACTTCCAGATACTACTACTAACAAGGTGTATTGTATTATTACTTTCAGAAACATTTGGCAGTATCTAATAAGATGAACATATACACACTTTGATAGAATAATTTCATATATATAATAAGAAAGTAAAAAGTTTAAAAATAAAAATATTCATTAATATTGAATAGATTAAATGTATCATATTCACACAATGGAATATTATAAAGCAATGAGAATAAGTACAGTATGCTACTTGCAATAACATTAATAAATTTCACAGATATTATTGAACTAAACATGGCACAGACATGGAGTACATTTTATATAATTCTGTGTATGTACAATTCTACTGAGCTAAAATCCTGGCTAGTAGTTATCTTTTGTGGTCAGTTATGACTGGAGTTGAGAAGGCACTTTTGTGATGCTCTTCGTGGTCTATTTCCTTAAATGGATGGTGGTTACACAGAGGCATTCACTTTATTGGACCTCATCATTTATGGTTGTGTACTTTATGTATATTATACATACTTTTTAAATGCCTTAAAATCACAGAGTTGAAGTTGTGTAACCACATAGCTAGTGTAGTTTCAACTTTCAAGACCTTCAAGTGTTCAAGGTCTGTTAAATGAATATAGCCTCTATTATCATGTTATTCAGCTTCATGCACATGATGAAGACTTATGATGATGAAGATAGGGTAGGTACTGTGATGAAAATAGTGGGAGAAAATGTTTCTCTTTGTCTAGAGCTATGATAAAATCATGCGTTTTAAAAATAATTTACAAAAAATAAGTAAATATTGATATTTCTACCCAGATTAAATTGATATTGATGTTTTTGTTGCACATACTTACAGAGGTTGTGTGTGTGGGGGCGGGGGAAGGTATAATTTAAATTTATCTCTTTTGTCTAAATAATGAGTACATTGCTTTATAATGCATATTTTGATCATTTAGTAGCCCATGGTGAATATTTTTCCATGTCAATAATTATTGCTCCTGTCATATTAATTATTTTTATCTATTTATTTATTAAAAAAAACTTTTTAGAGAGGAGGTATTGCTTTGTTGCCTAGGCTGGAGTGCACTGGTGCAATCATGGCTCACTGCCACCACAAATTCCTGGGCTCAAGGGATCTTCCCTCCTTACCCTCCTGAGTAACTGGGACCACAGAAATACATCATATTAATTAAATAATGAAAACTGAAGCATATGTAATGTGAGGACACAAAGACATCCTCCTAGTATTTCAAAATTAGATGGGCACTAACATAAAGCAAAATAGAAGAGTTTATTTAAATATTTTAAAAGTCAGCATTCAAAAAAGTGTTTACTTGCTGGATACACACACTGAATATGAAGTGCATCATTAATAATTCACTTGCTTTTTGCCTTCTCTGTTTGATTTGAATTTTCAAAGGATGTATAAGGCAGCTGTCAAATTGGTCACTCACCTAACAATTTAAAGTGTACAATACTATTTTGTCTGCTTTCGATCTTGTAATAGTGAGGTCTGGGAAGTTAAGTTGATATGTAATGGGAAAGACCACATTCCACAATTTCCAATGGGATTTGGTCATAAAGAAAAATACTTTCATTCTATGTTGACCCACCTGAGAATCGTTCCTTTAAGTTCCCTCAAGAAAGCCTCTTTGGGTTTGCAGAGGTTATTTGGCCAAGTCATGGGGATAACTCTGAAATTGTCTACATTTTGCAAGTGCATCACTATCAAATCTTAAATGCAAGCTAATTATTTGAAAATTATTTTAGTTAAATTCCAAATGTGTTGCTCAAATATCTAAGTATAACCCACTTTACCTTTTCCAGTATAGATTGGACTTTTAGCAACAGTATGCCTATCAATGTATAATTAATTTAGTGCTACGTAACTTAATCCAGCTGTCTCCTGCTACAGCATGCAGGAGTGGCTATGTATTAAATAAAGTCAAATCATGGTAAACTTTATTGCCCTTGGACAGGAGAACTAACAAAATGTACTTTCTCTGTTTAAGAGAGTTGGATTAAGGACAGTGGGGATCATCTTATTGCATCATTCTTTGTTATTTTCTTTACAAGCTGCAGCTTTCAGATTTCATGTTGTTGGTTCCCAGAGCTTATTTGAGTCACTAACACTTTTTAATGTAAATGCAAAATCTTCAGTCATCATTATGCAAACTACTGTCAGATGAATCGCTATAGGTTTGCATTTTCCATGAATCAATAGAACTAATTTAATAGCATTATCTAACAGCTTACTCAACCACACACACCAACACATATGTAAATTATCACTATGAATTCTAATTGATGCTGAAATATAGAAATCACAAATTCATTTACCACAATCTGCTCTCTATAGGGTTATTGCAGTTTTGTTGGGAGCAGAATCCATGCCCTACTCTGAAAAATAATCAAAGAGAATTTTGTTTTTTACAGTGCTCTTATCAGTAGGCTCTATTTCAGACTACAATATAACTGGGAATCTTAACATGGAGTTTATAGACCCATTGGGTTGACTTCAAAGGCTTCATGAAACCCATAAAATATCCATAAATCACTCATATTGTTGCTGGCAAATTTTATATAAAGAAGATCATCAATAACCTCTACAAAATTTTCAAAATATCCTATGATATAGTTTGGCTATGTTCCCACCCAAATCTAATTTTGAATTGTAACTCCCATAATTCCCATGTGTTATGAGAGGGACCTGGTGGGAGATCACTGAATCATGGGGGTTGAAATTTCCCATCCTGTTCTTGTGATAGTGAATAAGGCTCACAAAATCTGATGGTTTTATAAAGGGGAGTTTCCCTGCACACGCTCTCTTGCTTGCCTCGATGTGAGATGTGACTTTGCTCCTCACTCACCTTCTGCTATGATTTTCAGGGCTCCCCAGCCATATAGAACTGTGAGTCAATTAAACCTCTT
The DNA here is from genome assembly GCF_000001405.40 of Homo sapiens. Taxonomy (NCBI): domain Eukaryota; kingdom Metazoa; phylum Chordata; class Mammalia; order Primates; family Hominidae; genus Homo; species Homo sapiens. The sequence goes on from NC_000006.12 coordinate 49,039,387, forward strand.
TCCTTTATAAATTACTTACTCTCTGGTATGTCTTTCTTAGCAGTGTGAGAACAGACTAATACATGCTATGATCTGTAAGATTTACAAACATAGACCCATTTCTAAACTGGTGCCATTAAAATAAGATCCAGACTCTGACTCCCTTCCCCCTCAATGTACCCATTTTATCTATGTCTAGTGTCCCCTCTCAACTGCAATTGGTGAAAGAGGCCTTGTTTTGTAACAGCTGCAGGGTCTTGAATCTCATGGCTCTCTTATTAGACATAAACGTGTTTTTCATAAAATTCAACAAGAATTTGTTGAACATATAAAATGCATTGACACTATGTTAGGCGCCCTGGTAAACACCTATGTAGGAGGATTTTCAATACACCTAAAAGAGTGCTATGCCCTAAAATACAATCTGAAATTTCACCTAATTTTACAGGAAAAGATTCAGAATTTACATCTTTTATAAGGAGTAAATTTTCCAAAAGAAGAAACAAATTAAGCTGGTAACAAATTTTATTCATTTCATCTAGTAAGAGTTTTCCCTTCTCTACAAGAAGCTAAGATTAGTTAACTCTAGAGAAATTGAGAGTAGTCATTCATATAAAGTATGTGGCATAAATAAGAATGGGCAAATTTGAGTTGGATATAAATTAGGAGTAGAAAAGTATGGATCTTGTCAATCACAAGCTGCAGAAAATTTCTAGGCATTCCAAACAAAAATGGCCAGAAGAGAAAAGATGTAGCCAGAAAGAGAAGAATGTAAACTGTTTTGGCCTTCTTCATAATTTTGTGAAGACGTAAGTAACTCTGAATACATAGAGAAGTCCATCCTTAAAATGGGCTTTCATGTTGCAGAAGTGACTCTGAGAAGTCATTTTTTAAGCTACTTTTCACAGCAGTTTTAGATTCACAGCGAAATTGAGAGGAGATTATAGAGATTTCCCATATGTCCCCGAACTCCACACATGCATAGCTTCCCACGTTAACAACATCCCCCATTCTCATGCATAGCTTCCCATATTATCAACATCCCCTACCAGAATGGTACAACTTGTTACAACTGATGAACCTACATTGACACATCATAATTAGTCAAAGTCCATAGCTTACTTTCAGGTTCACTCTTGGTGTTGCGCATTCTATGGATTTGGACAAATGTATAATTACATCTACTTATTATTATAGCATCATACAGAGTACTCTCATTGCCCTGAAAATCCTCTGTGCTCTGCCTAGTCATCCCTGCCCCTATCAACCCCTCGCAACCACTGAATTTTTACTGGCCCTATAGTTTTGCCTTTTCTAGAATGTCATACAGTAGGGTGATATGGTATGTATTCTTTTTGGTTTGGAGTTTCCACTTAGTAGTATGCATTTTGGTTTTCTCCATGTCTTCTAATGGCTTCATAATTAATTTTTTAGCACTGAATAATATTCCATTGTCTGTATGTACCATAGGTTATCTATCCACTCATCTACTGGAGGACATTTTGGTGACTTCCAAATTTTTGCAATTATGTTAGATTATGTGTGCTTATGTATATACACATTATGTGTATATTTGCTTATGCACGCTTATATATAAGTGAAACGAATGACAGCAATAATACAAGAGATGAGAAGAAAGAGTTAGGATTATTTTCTTACCATAAGGTATTCACACTATCCTTAAATTTGTATGTTATTTAAAGGTAGGCTTGGATTAGTTGTAAATGTGTACTGCAAACTCCAGGATGACCTCCAAAAATAGTGAAAAAAAATTATAACTGATATTCTAAGAAAGCAGAGAAAATGAAATAATATAAAATCTAAGTTAAAACCACAAACACCAGAAAAAGAGTGGAAGACAAAAATAAGAATAAAGAACAAAGGCAACAAATACAAAACAGTAGCAAATATTTATTTCACTATACCTATAAACACCCTCTAATCACTTTTACTGCCAGTGATCTAAATATACCAATTAAAATACAGATTATTAGAGTGGTAAAATCCACTAAAATCCTCTAAAAGTGGCTGTAATAATTCATATTCAGGTTTTTTTGTGAACATAAGTTTTCAATTTTGTTTGGTAAGCACCAAGAAGCACAGCTGCCTGATGGCATGGTAAAAGTATGATTAGTCTTAAAAGAAACTGCCAAATTGTCTTCCAAAGTGGCTGTACCATTTTGCATTTCTACCAGCAATGAGTGAAATTTCCTGTTGCTCCTTATTCTTCTCATCAATTTATGCTGTCAATGGTCTGGATTTTGTCCATTCTAATAGGTGTGTAGTAGTATCTCATTGTTTTAATTTTCATTTAACATAAAATGTGGAGTTTCTTTTAACATAATTCTTTGTCATATTTATATATATATATACATACACATATATGTGTATATATGTATATATGTGTGTATATATAGACACACACATATATATACACACACATATACACACACACACACACATATATATATATATCTTCTTTGGTAAGATGTCCTTTAAGGTCTTTGTCTCATTTTTTAATTGAGTTATTTCTTTTCCTATTGTTGAGTTTTAAAAGTTCTTAGTATATTTGGGGTATTACAAATATTTTGTTTTGTTCTTTTGCAAATACTTTTCCAAGTTTCCGGCTTGTCTTATTCTCTTGACATTGTCCTTTGCAGAGCAGAAGTTTTTAATTTTAAGAAAGTCCAGCTTGTCAATTATCTCATGGATTATGCCTTTGGTGTTGTATCTAAAACATCATCACCATACCCAAGGTCATCTAAGTTATTTCCTATGTTATGCTCTAGAAGTCTTATAGTTTGGCATTTTACATTTAGGTCTATCATGCATTTTGAGTTAATTTTTGTGACAGGTGTTAGGTCTATCTAAATTCATGTTTTTGCATGTGGATGGCCAGTTAGTTGCTCTAGCACCTTTTATTAAAAAGATTTCCCTTGCTCCATTGTATGTTCTTTTCTCTTTTATCAAAAACCAATTGACAGTATTTATTTGAGTCTGTTTCTGGGCTCCCTATTTTGTTCAGTTAATCTATTTGTCTATTTTTTCCCAATACCACACTGCCTTGATTACTGTAGCTTTATAGTAAGTCTTGAAGTTGTGTAGTGTCATTGTACAACTTGTTCTTCTTCAATATTGTGTTGGCTATTCTGGGTCTTTTCCTTCTCCACATAAAATTCAGAGTCCATTTTTTATATTCAAAAAATAACTTGCTGAGATTTTGATTGGGATTGCATTGAATCTACAGATCAAGTTGGAAAGAACTCCCATCTTGGCATTATTGAATTTTCTTATCTGTGAACATGAAATATCTTTCCATTTATTTAGTTCTTTAAATTTTATTTTAGTCTAGTTGATCAGGGCTTTACACTTTTGATTACATAAATTTTGTACATATTTTGTTAGATTTATAACTAATTATTTAGTTTTGGAGGTGCTAATGTAAATACTATTGTGTTTTAGTTTCAAATTCCACTTGTTCATTACTGGTATATAAAAAAAATTCAATTTGTATATTTACTTTGTCTTCTACAACCTTGCAATAATTGCATATTAGATCCAGGAGTTTGTTGTTGTTGTTGTTGTTGTTGATTATTTTGGATTTTTCACATAGATGATTATTTCATCAGTGAGCAAAGAAAACTTTATTTTTTACTTCCCCATCTGTATACATTTTCTTTTCTTTTCTTGTTCAGCCTGTTGATGTGATTGATTACATTAATTGATTTTTGCATGTTGAACCAGACTAAGATACCCAGGATAAATCCCACTTGGCCATAGTTTATAATTGTTTTTATGCATTGCTAGAGTCCATTTGCTGATATTTGTTGAGGATTTTTGCATCAATGTTTGTGAGATATCTGGATCTGTAATTTTATTTTCTTATAATGGCTTTGCCTGATTTTGGTATTAGGATAATGCTGACCTCATAGAACAAGTTAGAAAGTTCTAACTTTTAATTACTTTAAAAAGATGCTTAAAGTGCTGTAATTTTTTCCTTTAATGTTTGGTAGAATTTACCAGTGAATCCATCTGGGCCTGGTGATTTGTGTTTGAAAGACTATTAATCATTGATTCAATTTTTAAATAGATATGCACTTATTCAGGTTGTCTATTTATTCTTGTGTGATTTCTGGCACATGGTGTCTTTCAAGAAATTGGTCCATTTCATTTAGGTTATTAAATATGTAGACATAGAGTTGTTCATAATATTACTTTATTATCCTCTTAATGTTCACAAAAACTGAAATTTTAATAATAGCAATTTGTATTTTGTCTTTTTTTTTGCTTGACTAGAGGCTTATTCATTTTATCTATCTTTTTAAAGAACTAGGTTTTGTTTTTGTTAATTTTCTCTATTGATTTCCTCTTTTCAATTTCACTGATTTCTGCATTGATTCTTATTGCTTATTTTCTTCTGCTTACATTGTATTTAATTTTCTTTTTCTAGTTTCCTGAGGTGGAAGCTTACACTATTTATGATGGATCTACTTCTATTTTACACATCCAGTACTATAAATTTCCCTCAAAGCACTGCTTTTGCTACATCCCATAATTTTGATAAGTTGTATTTTTATTTTGACTTAGTCAAAATATTGTTTAATTTATATTGAGATTTCTTTTTTAATCTATGTGTTATTTGGAAATGTGTTGTTTAATCTCTGTGTATTTTGGAACTTTTCAATTTTTTTTGTCATTGATTTCTTAGTTTAATTTAATTATATTCTGAGAGAAAACATTATATGATTTCTATATTTAAAAATTTGTTAATCTGTGTGTTTTAATCCAGAATGTGGTCTATCTTGTGAGCTTAAGAGGAATGGATATTCTACTGTCTCTTGATGTAGCCCATAAATGTCAATTATAGCCAGTATTGTTGAGTTCAACTACGTTCTTACTAATTTTCTGCCTGCTGGATCTATTTCTGCAGATGGATGTTTAAGTTTCCAGCTATAATTGTGGAGTTCCTTTCAGTTCTATCAGTTTTTAACCTCATATAGTTTGATGCTTTGTTGTTAGTTGCATACACATTAAGAATTAGTTACATCTTAGAGAACTTGTCTATTGTGTAATAACCTTCTTTATATCTGATAACTCTTCTTGCCTTAAAATCCACTCTGTCTCAAATTAGTATCATTATTCTGCTTTCTTTTGTTTAGTGTTAACGTGATATATTTTTCTTCATTCATTTACTTTTAATTTATTAAGCTTACCAGGGACATTCTTTCTGTTACACTGTTTTTGATTTCCAGAATTTATTTTGGGTTCTTTGTTAAGATTTTTGTGTGTCTTCATGTTTACAGTGGAATTTTTGTGAACAACATACATAGTTGGGTTGTGTTTTTTAATCCACTCTAAAAAAATCTGTCCTTTTATTAATACATTTAGACCATTGACATTAAAAGTGATTATTGGTATAGTTAAGTAAATATCTATTATATTTGGTACTATTTTGTTTTTGTTGCCCTTATTCTTTGTTCTTGTTTTTGTCTTCCACTCTTTTTCTGCCTTTTGTAGTTTTAACTGCAATTTTATAAAATTCCATTTTCTCTGCTTTTTTAGAATATCAGTTATACTGTTTTTCACTATTTTTGGTGATTGTCCTGGAGTTTGCCGTACTCATTTACAACTAATCCAAGTCTACCTTCAAATAACATTATACCACTTCAAGATTAGTGTGAGTACCTTATAACAAAATAATCTTAATTATTTCCTCTCATGTCTTATATCATTGCTGTCATTAATTTCACATATATAAGCATACATAAACTTTATACTATATTATACATATATACTACATATACATAAGCATACATAAACTCATGTATTGTTGATATTATTATTTTAAGCAATTTAAATCTGTTAGATCAATTGAGACTTTTTTTAAATTTTTATTTTATCTTCATTTATTTCTTCAATACTTTCTTTTCTTTATTTACATATGAGTTTCTGACCTATATTTATCTTTTTCGCTCCAAAAATCTTTTAACATTCCTTGCAAGGCAGTTCTACAGGCAACAAATGTTCTCGAATTTGTTTAAGAAAGTCTATTTCTCCTTCACTTTTGAAAAATAATATTTCAGGGTAGAGAATTCTAGGTTGGTGGATTTTTCTCTCTCAACAGTATTTATTTATTTATTTATTTATTTATTATCTTCCATTTTTTTAATCTTTGATTTTCCGTAATTTTAAAATGATATGCCTATATTTGGTTTTGGCTCATTGTTTGTTTCTTTGGTTTTAGCATTTATCCTGTTTCGTATTCTCTGTAGCTTCCTGGATTTATCTTTGGCTTGGTGTTTAACAGTAATTTGGAAAAATTCTCAGTCATTGTTTCAAATATTTTTTTCTGCTCTTCCTTTCTTTATTCTTCTTCTTGTAGTCCCATCAGATGTATTGTAACATCTTTTGTAGTTGTCACACAGTCCTTGAATGTTCTGTTTTTTTTTCTTCTTTCAGTCTTTGTTCTTTTTGCTTTTCAGTTTTGGAGGTTTCTATTGGTATGTCTTCAATCTCAAACAACCCTCAGTTAGTCTACAAATAGGCCCATCAAGAGGATTCTATTTTGGTTATAATGTTTTGGCTCCTAGAATTTATTTCTGGCTCACTTAGGATATGTATTTATCTGCTTACATTGCCCATCTGTTCTCACATTCTGTATTTTATTTGCTAGCACCCTTAACTTATTAATCACAGTTGTTTCTTAAAAAAATTATTATCTGATATTCCAATATCCCTGCCTTGTCTGATTTTTATGCTTGCTCTGTCTCTTCAAATTGTCTTTTTTGCCTTTTAGTATGTCTTATAATTTTTTCTTAATAGCTGGGTATGATGAACTAGGTAATAGGAAAGGCTGTAAATAGTTTTCTATTAATGTAGTGGTAAGGTGTGGAAGAGGGGAAGTGTTCTACAGTACTCTGATTAGTTTTCAATCTTTCAGTAAGAACATGCTTCCAGACTGTGAAATTTACCAGTGTTTCTTTTTTTTTTTTTCCTCCCCAATTAGGTGGAACAGAGAGGCTAGAGTGGGCTAGAGTTGGGGTATTTTCCTTCCCCCAGGTCGATTAGGCTCTGATGGTACCCCAGGAGGTTAGGCTCTGGTTAACTAGTTTCCTTTAGGAGAGGCCTTATTTAGAAGAACAGAGGGCTCTGTTCCTTTTTTCCCCCACCATTCTGGAAGTGTGGGAATTTTTCTCTGATTTTACTATGAGAATCTGGTCAACATCCTTTAGGTAAAACTTAGAAAAGTATGGAGGCTTCTCTATGACTTGATCGTCCTGGAGTTCTAACTCTCAAGATTTGTCTGTACTCTTACAATTTATCAATCTCTGCTTTTGTAAGCCATGATTTCCTGTATTTTCCTGTCTGTCTCTCAAATTTTGAGGTCAAAGGTTTGTTCTGTGTCTTCACCTCTCTTATGGATCCAAGATCTGTTGATTTTTTTCAGTCTGTCACTTTTTTGACTGTTAGGATGAGGTGTCAACTTCCAAGCTCCTTACATGAAGAACCAGAAACCGGAATTCTGAGCAGGAGTTTAGAGCTGAGCACTGTGTATGACTCTGTGGTCTTTCTGAAAAGAAAGGAGGCAGGAGACAGAGGGCACAGGGGTGAAGCTAGAACACAGGGATCCTGAGGCTCTGTCTTGAAAGAAAGCAGTTCTGCTTTAATCTACTTGTATATTGTCCTTTAGCTTTTTGGAATAATTGATTCTACTATATAAAGACAGATAGAGACATACACAGAGAGACAAGTTATTAGTAGGTAGATAATGAATGGATGGATGGATAAAAAGATAGATGATGCATAGATACAAAGAATATGCCTGATTGCTATTGGTGGAGAAGGCACATAATGACCTTCTAATTCTTGTGCTCTGAATCAGTTTGTTTTGTTTTTATCTTTCTTCAATCATGGATCTAGAGAGTTTGCTTTAGGTAACAAGGTATTACTTAAGAGCGATCTCTGAGGATGTCTTGTGTAATCACAATAGGTAGAGTCTTATTTCTAGACCTTACTATCTTGTTTCTAATATTACTTTTAATTTGCCATTGTAAATTCAGCCGTTTAACTCTTTCCTAATTGTTTTCAAACTCAACATCTCTACTTAACAAGAACTGAAAGTCTTAAAAATGAATGTTGTAATAAAAACTATAGTCCTACATTAGCTTTATTTATGGAAGGAACTTATGATAAAATCAAAAATGAGAAAGAATACACAGATATGGGTAAAGTGAAGCTTGTAGGCCAAAGTTTCCAATTAATAAAGCTTTTTATTTCTCTTCTGGGATCAACTGCATATCCATTTAGATACCGGCTTCAATACTGAACAAAAACTAATGTTCAAGAACTTATGCAATTGAACTTCTCTGCTTTAAAACTGCTTATGACCTTATTTGGAAGTCAAGTGTAAATTTCTGATTCACTCTATGTAAAGCTGTCAGCTGACCTCAATGTAAATGAATATTTTAGATTTCCTGGTTGTTTGCCTTACCTGCTAGAAAATTCCTGGAGTGAGGAGTAAAAATAAATATAAAGATACCAGTGTGGTTACTTAATTCCTCACCTTGTCAGTAGAAGAAAATTCACATAATTTAATTTCCCACCCTCCTGTCTCTGTATTTTCTCTGCTGTCTGTCATAGGAGGGCGATGTAGATGCATATTAATGAGACCAGGCTAGGCAGACACTCAAGGCATTTTTCTCAATCTGGAAAAAATGCCTCAACAATATTTACAAAAGTCTATGACAAGACAGTTGCATAAGCAATTGTCAAACTTAAAAGAGTTAGGAGGCAAAAGAGAGGCAAGGTGAGATCAAGAAGCTTGTACTAAAAAAACCGTGGCAAACAGTATTTATCTTTTTTCTTGGTCTAAAGTCATATGGTATCATCTAGACTTTGCACAAATATCCTTGATTTAGATACCATTTTGTTCCAACAATCTTGACTCACAATAACAGAGAAAAATTACATGAAAATATTCAGAAATGGAAAAGTAGCCTATTTGTGAATCACTTTCTATGAAAGATTTTATATTGTTAAATAGAGATATACTTAACAATAAGCGAGGTAGATGAGTGCTGATATAATAGATTTCACACAATCAAGGAATAATCATGAAATGTATGGGTATCCTAAGTGTAAAGAGAGACTTTCAGGATAATGACATTGAAATTGTAAAGAAATGTGTTTTATATATATATGCACACACCCACTTACTCACAAATATACATACATATGTATGTATATATACATCCTTTTAAAAAAATTTTTAAAATTCCAGTTAAAAAATTAATTGCTCCAAAGAGAGAGATGGCCTGCTTATATTGAAAAGACTTAGGAACTTTTCACGAGAAAAAGATGCTTACAATCTATAGTGAACTCCTTATTTGGGCTAAAGAAGGTATTACCATAAGTGCAATAGATACCGTTTTGCCCCATCCATTTACATAGGAAACATTTAGTTAGATTCTGAGCATTTCATTTTAAGAGACAATTTGACATTCTATAGAATGTCATTAATAGAATGATTATGTGTCTGGAATCTACAGCATATAAAGAACTAAAGATGTAGTTGATGATCATCCCGAAAGAAAAAAAATAACAGGAATAAAACAAGATCTCTATCCAATGGTCTCTGACACAGATAAGGGGTTTCATTCGTTCAGCACCAATCCAGTGATATCCATCAGGGTCATTGTGTAAGAGAAGAGAAGAGGAGGCATGTTAGTTGTGATATAACCAACTCTGTCACAAACAATATGCAAGCCTAGACTCATATTAAGGGTGGGCTGTAGAAAGATGTCCTGTACTAGATGGTGCTTAATTTTAAGGATATATTTACCCATGAGTCCTAGATGATATATTATTTATATCTCTTCCTAAAAGTATGCCAGATCCATTCCTAAAAATAAGATTTGTTATAAGTAATTCTAGAATATTCCCTCTAGAATATTCTAGAATGTCATTTAGAAAACAAAGTGTATCTTTCAAAGCCCCTTTCCACCACCTACCTTTGGTTAACTCTTTGAGTCTTTCTTATTTTCTTCCATAAGCCATGATTTCCATTCCCTTCTCTTCTTGATAATAATGTAATTTCATAAAAGTACCTCATATACATATTCAACATAAGTTGTAAATAAATAGTTGCTGGTTAAAACTAAGATAGTTCCTATGAGTTTTATGTGTTTACAGATGCTAAGTTCTTAATGAAGGAATTGAAACTCTAACTTGAAATTTAGGGCAACAACAATCTTAATTTTTTGTGTGGAGAGACTGTTCCAAAGACCCATTAATAGTGCATGAGAGGCTGAGTAACCTGCTAGTGGAAAAAGCATAAAGCAACTATGCTTCTGGGTTGCAGAATAAAGAACCCCATCCAAATTTTCCAAAATATGGTCATTGGGGAACTCACCAGTTCATTCACCTCTGTTAAGTACTTCTAATTTAGAAGAAATAAAACAGTTCAGTGTACTTGTGGCCTTTTCTTAGTCATCTTTACCAGTTCATTATCCTATCCCTGACCTTTAAATTTTAAGTTCCTCAAAGATCTTTCCAAATTCCTTTTTTTTCTGGAAGAATCATCTCTATAATCTTTTAACTCTACTATAATCCACGATATTTTCTTCAAATAAAATATGTATGCAATTTTTAAAAAACAAATGATCTCTCTTTCTTTGCATCTATACTCTTACATGTAACTACTTTCCTAACATGTCTAGCTGAGATATCTTAAAGACTTCTCAACTAAGTATGTCTGAAATTAAATTTATTATCTTTCCCTCAAACCAGCTCTTTTTCTAGGGTGATACATTTTATGAACAAAGCAATGATTTATATAATTGTGCAAGTCAGAAATCTAGCATTTATCCTTGGTTCCTCCTACTTCTTCACACTCATGATTCATATGTCTTCATTTATTATTAAATCACCTTCTAAATATTTCTCAAAACTGGCTTCTTTAATTCATCTTAATAAGTTCACCCCCACAGTTTTACCTACCTTCCTCTCTTTCTTGGACCACTTCGACAATCAGCTAACGGCTTTCAACTCAGATTACTGCCTTTGTTTCAATCCATTCTACATATGGAAAAAAAGTGATCTTTTAAAAATGGAGATCTCATTAAAAAGGCTAAAGTTCTTAGCATGCCCTAAACTGCCCTGCTTATTCTCATCCTGCATTCATCTGCTGTCACTGCCTCTCCCCAGCTCACTTTCTGCTTAGACCCTAGAACTTTATTCAGCTTTCAGAAAACTATGCTCCCTCACAATGAAGGTCTTTGCACTTGCAGTTTCTCCCATCTGCTTAAAATATTCTGTTCAAACCTTCTTTTCATATTAAACTACTCTTCAACTGTTGGCTTTCAACACACATGATTTTTCTCTTAAAATAGGCATCCTTGATGTCTCATACTGAGTCAAATCCATTCATAGAATTTCATGACAACTTATACTTTTCCCACATGATACGTTTAAGACTTTATAAGTATATTTGTGTGATCACTTAATATCTACTTCACCCTCTATATTATAGGTGCCAAAAGGGCAGGTATCATGTGTGTTTTGATGATTCACTGCAAAATACATATTTACAAATGTGATAATTAAGTAAATGAAAGAAAGAATACATGAATAAAATAAGACATTTGAAATTTAAAAACCTACAAAAGGAACTTCTGGAGTATTGGCAAATTTTGCTTTATTTGTGCTATTTGTATTTAACTTTGTTAATAGTCATCAGATTGTACTGAGGAGCAATATTTTTTGAAAGTTTTCTTTGATGAATTTACTGTAAAATCAATGACGTGAAGGTTAAATTGATGTAGGCATTAAGCAAGATATTTCTTTGAGCGTGTTTAAGATTTCAATTTTCTGACATGTTCAAAGTGATTTCTAGAAACACTTTGAAAATATGCTATGGATTGGATATATAAGCTTGAGTAAAAAAAAATTTTCAAATTTTTTTTCAAAATAGTAATTTAAAAGCATTTGTGCACACTTCTTTGTTCTTTGTGTTTTTATGCAAAAAGAATACCATTTCTCTTCATTCTACTTTTAAATATTCAAACACATTTCTCTAGTGTATTCTCCATTTAAAATATGCAGGCACATGTGCAAAATTGCAGCTGATTCAGCCTGTCTAAATACATGCCAATGTGCAACTTGAACCCGTTTTTGATGTTTTCTATGTTTTTTCCAGAATGAAATATTTAGTCTTTTGCTAGTAACTTCAAAAAAGATTTTGAAATATTTATAAAGTATATAGCATACACATAAAAAGTAGATGCAATAAATTCTCATTATTTTATTCAAATTGTTCTAAGATTCAATTACATTATTTTGAACTCTCTTCTGAGATACTCCTTAAAAACTTGTAAACTTATAATGAAGTACTTGAAGCCACTTCTAGGCAGCTCCTCAACTAAAGAGCCATGGGAAGGTATGTAGACTGACATTAAAGACAGTGAAAGGGATAATGATAGGACTTAATGTCTGAAAATGCCAGAATTTTGAGTTATTGAGTGTAATGGTTAATTGCATGTATCAACTTGTAGGGTATTTTTTGGATGAGATTACCATTTAAATTGGTGAACACTGCGTAAGCAAATTCCCCTCCATAATGTGGGTAGCCTCATTTAATCAGTTGAAGGCCTAACAAGAACAAAAAGATTAGTCTCCACAAACAGGGGGGAGTTTTTCAGTAGACTGCCTTTGGACTTATCTACACCATCACACTATTCACTCCCCTCGGTCTCTAGCCTACCAGCCTACACTGTAGATTTTGGACTCGCCAGCTTTCATAATTGTGTGAGCCAATTCCTTATAAGAAATTCCTCTATTTTCTTCTCTCTCTTTCTCTGCCTCTCCATATTATATATGCTATTGAATTGTATATTATAATGGATGAATATTTTGAGATATAAATTAAGTATTAGTAAAGCTCCTAAAAAAACAGAAATAAAAAAGGAAGTTCACTACTGCAATTAAATCTGAGAAGGGAATCTATTTTTCAGCACTCAACCATTTATATACATGTATATCACAGTGAATATATCCAATCATATATAAAATCTATGAACAATTTTATAATTCCACAATACTCATGGAATGAATATTTATGGAGTATTTTTCTGTTCTGAAAGTTTGTATCCATTTCATCTAATCTCTTTTCCAAGATTTAGAAGTAGATTGCATGTTTTCTTTCTCTGTTGCTTAAGATATTTTCTAGGACAGTAGCATTATAATACTGGCAGAACACATACAAAGAGAATTGAAACTGGACCCTGTCTTTACACCATATAGAAAAATCAACTCAAGATGGATTAAAAACCTAAATGTAACACCTAAACCTATAAAAAACCATTGAAGGAAACTTATGAAATACCATTCTGGACATATGTCCTGGCAAAGACTTCATGAAGAAGATGCCAAAAGCAATTGCAACAAAAACAAAAATTGAAAAGTGGGATCTAATTAAACTAAAGAGCTTCCACACAGCAAAAGAAACTGTCAACAGATTAAACAACCAGCCCACAGAATGGGAGAAAATATTTGCAAACTATGCATCTGACAATGGTCTAATATTCATAATCTATAAGGAACTTAAGTAAATCAACAAGCAGAAAGCAAAACAAAAATAATATCGAAAAGCAAGCAAAGGATATGAACAAGCACTTTTCAAAAGAAGACATACGCACAGCCAACAAGCACATGAAAAAAATTCTCAACATCACTAATCATTAGAGAAAAGCAAGTCAAAACCACAGTGAGATAGTATTCATACTAGTCAGAATGACTACTATTAAAAAGAAGTCAAAAGATAACAGATGCAGGTGAGGTTGCAAAAAAATTAGGGAGAATGCTTACACATTGCTGATGGAAATGTAAATTAGTTCAAACACTGTGGAAAGCAGTTTTGTAATGTCTCCAATAAATTAAAATAGAACTACCATTCTACCCATTAATCCTATTATTGGGTATACAACCAAAGGAATACAAATTACTCTACCATAAAGATATATGCATGCATATGTTCATCACAGCACTATTCACAATAGCAAAGACATGAAGTCAATCCAGGTGCCTATCAACAGTGGACTGGAAAAATAAAATGTGGTACATATACACCATGGAATACTACACAGCCATAAAAATGAATAAGACTGTGTACTTGGCAGCAGCAGGGATGGAGCTAGAGGCCATTATCCTAAACAAACTAATGGAGGAACAGAAAACCAAATACCACATGTTCTCACTTATTAATAGGAGCTAAACATTGAGTACACACAGACACAAAGAAGGGACGAATAGACATAGGGGCCTACTTCAAAGTAGAGGGTGGGAAGTGAGTGAAGATCAAAAAACTACCTATAGGGTACTATGCTCCTTACCTGGGTGACAGGTAAAAGAAACCCACATGACACACAGTATTACTGCACATGTACCCCTGAAACTAAAATAAAAGCTAAAAACAAATACTGGCAGGACATTTTAAAAATAAGTGGGACCTTTGAAATTCTTAATGATTATTTTATAGGCAATAGCATACACTGTTTTATCACAGGCAGCAACACGTGGACAGGAGAAAGTGTCTTCCTCTAGCTTTCTCTTGTAATTGACAGAACTGGACTCAGGTTTGGTTTGCCACATTCCCTCTCCTGTTCTCTGTTTGTTTGTTTGTTCAGATTTTCCACTCTGAGTAAACTATCTCTTGAGTAAATAAAACATTTCAGGTAGTTTCTGAAAAGGCCTGTCAGAAACTGGCACGTTGAATCCCCAGCACTGAGAGAAATGGAAGTAAGCAAAGTTGTCACCTCCATGCCAAATTTACTAGGAGCTGAATTCCAGGTATATCAAATCAAGGAGTTCCACCAGGACTAGATAAATAATTTTCAGGACCCCAATACAAAGTAAAAGTTCTGGAACCCTTGTTCAGAAATTGCTAAGAATTTCAAGACCGTGAGAGCAAAGTATGAAACCAAGTGTTGCGCCCCTTGACGTGGGGCCCTCTGTGGCTACCAGAAAGCATGCCCTGGTTCCAGATATACTTCAACTCCTTACTTTATAGCAGATGCTTCTTTAAGTACTCAAATGATAAAGATTGGCACTCCTTATCCTGAGGTAATGAAAAACAATTTCAGGTGAACATTAGCAGTCTGAATTGGGTATGAGTGAGCAATGACTACCTTATTACTACCAAGAAAATAACTGCCTCTCAAATAAATGAGACATGAGTAAGTCTTTAGTTGCAACAGTTAAAGCCAAATAACTGAAAACATTATTTGTATTGAAGCAAATGACTATCGAAATGCAGAAGATATTTTGTGTTTAACAGAAATTTATATCCAATACCTTAGATTTTTAAGAACATAAAACACACTAGTATCTTTGTAAGCAACTCCAATGCCATCATGTTTTGTGATAGAGTACTTAGGTTAACTCCCATACTTTAAAAAATTTTAATTGATAGCATTTATTTTCAAATTCTTTAGCCATTCTAACAGGATGAGAAGAAGACCAAAATTTTAAAAGCACAGATAAGGATTCGCTTTTGTTAAGATCGTTCACTTTTAGCAAGTATCAATTGACAGAAGATATACATACTAGACTTTTTTGGATAAGGCGATCTTAATTTCACAGTTGAGAGATTCCTATTTGCCACTTTCTAGCCATTTAGCCAGCACCTATTTCACTTGTTTCACTGCTCTTTGTTTTTTTTTTTTTTTTTTAAACTTCTTGCAATATTTTTCACTTCTTTCTGCAATTGTTCTCTGTTCTCTGTGTAAATCCTTGATAATGTCTGAAAATTTCCTCAATGTTCGTCAGGTCTTGAGATTTTCCTGATACCTAGGAATGCTGGTCAGAGAAATACATTCCAAAAAATAGTTTCCAAAGTATCGTTCATGATTGGACTGGCAAAGTTACCAAGTGGATGTAAACTTTGTACCTGACTTTGTACCTCTCCTGACTTAAAAGATGTTTAAGACATCAGCTCTCAGTTTGGCTTTTCATGCAATTTATTTTCCTCCCTGGAACATTCTTCTTTTTCAGAAACAGACTTTATGGAACATTTTACCCCCTATTTCCTGCCTCAGGGCTTGCCTAGTTTTGCATGAAAGATTTCCAGAAATGTGAACTGTTGGCATTTTCTAATACCAAGATTTACTCTTATTTAATAATTTATTTAAAATATCTTCCTCCCTTGAACTGACACGGTATGTTTTCCTCCATTAAATTTTAAATTAAATATTTTATTTGAAGATAACTGTAGATTCACTTGAAGTTGTAAGAAATAAGACAGAGAAATCCCATATATCCTTTATTCAGTTCCCCCAGTGGTTTCATCTTGCAAAACTATATAGCATTATCACAAACAGGATTGACAGTGATACAATCCATGGGTCTTATTCGAATATCCAGTTTTATTTATACTTTTATATGTGTTTAGTTCTATCCAATTTTATCATTTATGTAGGTCCATGTATCCACCACCACAGCCAAGATACAGAATAGTTCCATTATCACAAGTAGCCCCTATGTTGGTCTTTTATAACACACTCACAGCCACTTACCTGTTTTCCACTACTATAATGTTGTAATTTCAAAAATGTTATATAAATGAAATCACATAATATGTAACCCTTTAGAATCAGCATAATTCACTCTCATAATTCTTAGAGATTCGTTCATGTTGATGTGTGTAACAATACTTTGTTTCTTTATATTGCTAAGTGATATTCCATTGTATAAATACACTACAGTTTCTTTAACCATTCACTAATTAAAAATCATCTGGGGTTTTTAAGATTGTGTCTATTTTGAACAAAGCCATTGTGAACATTTGGGTATAGATCGTGTGAATATAAATTTTCATTTCTTTGAAATAGACCAAAAATACAATTGCTGGGTCGAATGGCAATTGCATTTTTAATTTTATGAGAAACCACCAAATTATTTTCCAGAGTGAGTGTAACATTTAACATTCTCACCAGCTATGTATAAGTGATTCAGTTTCTCCATGTCCCTGTGAGTATTTGGTGTTATCTTTATTGCTCATTTTATCAAGTCTGATAGGTATATAGTGATATCTCACTGCAAGATTAATTTTTATTTCTGTAATGATTAAATGATGTTGAATATTTTTCAATTTATGTATGTGCCTTTTGTGTATCCTCTTCATGTCTTTAGTCCATTTTAAAATTGGATTTCAGACTTTGGTTACAATAATAATTTTCAGAAACTTTGTTGTGTTTTTTAAAAATTTGGCTTGATTTATCTGGTGTCTTCAATCACCAGATTGAAGCTTTTGATGAAAGCTTCAACGCTTTCCTTTTTTTTCTGCTTGTGCAGCCTGAAGGGATGTGTGCTAGGTGGTCCTTGCATTGCTATAACAAAATATCTTGGTCGGCTAATTTATTAAAAAGCAGGTTTAATTGGCTCACAGTTCTGCAGACTATACAGGAAGCACTGCACCTGAGGCAATCTGTTTCTAGTGAGGAATCTGTTTCTAGCATCAGGAAGCTTACAATTATGGTGGAAGGTGAAGGGGGAGCAGGCGTCTCACATGGAAAGACTGGGAACAAGAAGGGGGGTGGCATACAGTTTTAAACAACCAGATCTCATGAAAACTCACTCACTATTATGAGGACAGCACCAAGCTGCTTCTATAACCCAAATACCTCATACCAGGCCACATCTCCAACGTTGGGGATTACATGGCAACATAGGTTTTGAGGGGGCAAATATCCAAAGTATATTATTCTGCCCTGGCCCCTCAAATCTCATGTCCTCTTCACATTGCAAAACACAGTTATATCTTCCCAATAGTTGCCCAAAGTCTTAACTCATTGCAGCATCAGCTGAATCAAAAGTCCCAAGACCAAAGTCTCATCTGGAGTTGAGTTCCTTCTACCTATGAACCTGTGAAACCAAAGAAGTTATTTACTTTCAAGATACAATAAGGGTACAAGCTATTGGATAAACATTTATGTTCCAAAAGTGAGAAATCAGTCAAAAGCAAGGGCTACAGGCATCATGCAAGTTCAAAACCCATCAGGGTAGCAATTAAATCTTAAAGCTTCAAAACAATATCTTTTGACTCCATGTCTATCATACAGGGAACACAACTGTAAGGGATGGGCTCTCAAGGCCTTGACCAGCCCTGGTCCTGTGGCTTTTTAGGGTTTAGCTCCTGCAGTGGTTCTCCTGGGTTGGAGTTGAGTACCTGCAGCTTTTCCAGGCATAGGGTTCAAACTGCCAATGGATCTATTACTAAGGGGTCTGGAGGATGGTGGCCACCTTCCCACAGCTCCACTAAGCAGTACCCCAGTGGGTACCCAGTGTGGGGCCTCCAACCCCACATTTCCCCTCCATACTGCCCTGGTGGAGGTTCTGTTAGGATCCCACATCTGCAACAGGCTTCTGCCTGGGAACCCAGGCTTTCTCACACATCCTCTGAAATCTAGGCAGAAGTTGACAGGTCTCTTTTACTCTTGCACTCTGCATGCCTACAGGCTTAACACCACATGGAAGTTATCATGGCTTATGGCTTGCATCCTCCAAAAGAGTGGCCTGAGCTATATCAGGGGTATTTTCAGCAGCTCTGGAGGTGGAGTAGCCTGTATATGGGCAGTATCCTGAGGCTGCACAGGGCAGCAGGGCCATGGGCCTGGCCTAAGAAATCATTCTTTCTTCCTATGTCTCGGGGCCTGTGATGTCTCTGGGAGCTAAAGATCTCTGAAATACTTTCAAGGCCTTTTTCTCATTGTCTTATCTATCAGCACCTGACTCCTTTTAGTGATGCAAATATCTCTAGCAAATTGTTACTCCACAGCCCACTTGGATTCTTCTCCTGAAAATGGGCTTTTACAGCAGTAACCTCTGCAGACTTAAATGTCTCTCTCTGACAGCTTTGAAGAGAGTAGGGGTTCTCCCAGCACTCAGCTTGAGATCTGAGAATGGGCAGATGGCCTCCTCAAGTGCGTCCCTGAACCCCAAGTAGCCTAACTGGGAGGCACCCCCCCAGTAGGGGCGGACTGACACCTCACACGGTCGGGTACTCCTCTAAGACAAAACTTGCAGAGGAAAAATCAGGCAGCAGCATTTGTGGTTCACCAATATCCGCTGTTCTGCAGCCACCGCTGCTGATACTCAGGCAAACGGGATCTGGAGTGGACCTCTAGCAAACTCCAACAGACCTGCAGCTGAGGGTCCTGTCTGTTAGAAGGAAAACTAACAAACAGAAAGGACACCCACACCAAAAACCCATCGTACATCACCATCGCCAAAGACCAAAGGTAGATAAAACCACAAAGATGGGAAAAAAACAGAGCAGAAAAACTGGAAACTCTAAAAATCAGAGCGCCTCTCCTCCTCCAAAGGAACTCAGCTCCTCACCAGCAATGGAACAAAGCTGGACGGAGAATGACTTTGACGAGTTGAGAGAAGAAGCCTTCAGATGATCAAACTGCTCTGAGCTACAGGAGGAAATTCGAACCAATGGCAAAGAAGTTAAAAGCTTTGGAAAAAAAAATAGACTAATGGATAACTAGAATAACCAATGCAGAGAAGTCCTTAAAGGACCTGATGGAGCTGAAAACCAAGACAGGAGAGCTACTTGATGAATGCAGAAGCCTCAGTAGCTGATGCGATCAACTGGAAGAAAGGGTATCAGCGATGGAAGATGAAATGAATGAAATGAAGCGAGAAGAGAAGCTTAGAGAAAAAAGAATAAAAAGAAATGAACAAAGCCTCCAAGAAACATGGGACTATGTGAAAAGACCAAACCTACGTCTGATTGGTGTACCTGAAAGTGATGGGGAGAATGGAACCAAGCTGGAAAACACTCTGCAGGATATTATCCAGGAGAACTTCCCCAATCTAGCAAGGCAGGCCAACATTCAAATTCAGGAAATACAGAGAAAGCCACAAAGATACTCCTCAAGAAGAGGAACTCCAAGACACATAATTGTCAGATTCACCGAAGTTGAAATGAAGGAAAAAATGTTAAGGGTAGCCAGAGAGAAATGTCGGGTTACCCACAAAGGGAAGCCCATCAAACTAACAGCTGATCTCTTGGCAGAAACTCTACAAGCCTGAAGAGAGTGGGGGCCAATATTCAACATTCTTAAAGAAAAGAATCTTCAACCCAGAATTTCATATCCAGCCAAACTAAGCCTCATAAGTGAAGGAGAAATAAAATCCTTTACAGAAAAACAAATGCTGAGAGATTTTGTCACCACCAGGCCTGCCCTAAAAGAGCTCCTGAAGGAAGCACTAAACATGGAAAGGAACGGCCAGTACCAGCCACTGCAAAAACATGCCAAATTGTAAAGACCATCAAAGCTAGGAAGAAACTGCATCAAGTAACAAGCAAAATAACCAGCTAACATCATAATGACAGGATCAAATTCACACATAACAATATTTACTTTAAATATAGATGGGCTAAATGCTCCAATTAAAAAACACAGACTGGCAAATTGGATAAAGAGTCAAGACCCATCAGTGTGCTGTATTCAGGAAACCCATCTGATGTACACAGACACACATAGGCTCAAAATAAAGGGATGGAGGAAGATCTACCAAGCAAATGGAAAACAAAAAAAGGCACGGGTTGCAATCCTAGTCTCTGATAAAACAGACTTCAAACCAACAAAGATCAAAAGAGACAAAGAAGACCATTACATAATGGTAAAGGGATCAATTCAACAAGAAGAGCTAACTATCCTAAATATATATGCACCCAATACAGGAGCATCCAGATTCATAAAGCAAGTCCTGAGTGACCTACAAAGAGACTTAGACTCCCACACAATAATAACGGGAGACTTTAACACCCCACTGTCAACATTAGACAGATCAACGAGACAGAAAGTTAACAAGGATACCCAGGAATTGAACTCAGCTCTGCACCAAACAGACCTCATAGACATCTACAGAACTCTCCACCCCAAATCAAAAGAACATACATTCTTTTCAGCACCACACCACACCTATTCCAAAATTGACCACATAGTTGGAAGTAAAGCACTCCTCAGCAAATGTAAAAGAACAGAAATTATATAAAACTGTCTCTCAGACCACAGTGCAATCAAACTAGAACTCAGGATTAAGAAACTCACTCAAAACTGCTCAACTACATGGAAACTGAACAACCTGCTCCTGAATGACTACTGGGTACATAATGAAATGAAGGCAGAAATAAAGATGTTCTTTGAAACCAACGAGAACAAAGACACAACATACCAGAATCTCTGGGACACATTCAAAGCAGTATGTAGAGGGAAATTTGTAGCACTAAATGCCCACAACAGAAAGCAGGAAAGGTCTAAAATAGACACCCTAACATCACAATTAAAAGAACTAGAAAAGCAAGAGCAAACACATTCAAAAGCTAGCAGAAGGCAAGAAATAACTAAGATCAGAGCAGAACTGAAGGAAATAGAGACACAAAAAACCCTTCAAAAAATTAATGAATCCAGGAGCTGGTTTTTTGAAAAGACCACCAAAATTGATAGACCACTAGCAAGACTAATAAAGAAGAAAAGAGAGAAGAATCAAATAGATGCAATAAAAAATGATAAAGGGGATATCACCACCGATCCCACAGAAATACAAACTACCATCAGAGAATACTACAAACACCTCTACACAAATAAACTAGAAAATCTAGATGAAATGGATAAATTCCTCAACACATACATCCTCCCAAGACTAAACCAGGAAGAAGTTGAATCTCTGAATAGACCAATAACAGGCTCTGAAATTGAGGCAATAATTAAGAGCTTACCAACCAAAAAAAGTCCAGGACCAGATGGATTCACAGCCAAATTATACCAGAGGTACAAAGAGGAGCTGGTACCATTCCTTCCGAAACTATTCCAATCAATAGAAAAAGAGGGAATCCTTCCTAACTCATTTTATGAGGCTAGTATCATCCTGATACCAAAGCCTGGCAGAGACACAATAAAAAAAGAGAATTTTAGACCAATACCCTTGATGAACATCGGTGCAAAAATCCTCAATAAAATACTGGCAAACCAAATCCAGCAGCACATCAAAAAGCTTATCCACCATGATCAAGTGGGCTTCATCCCTGGGATGCAAGGCTGGTTCAACATACAAAAATCAATAAATGTAATCCAGCATATAAACAGAACCAAAGACAAAAACCACATGATTATCTCAATAGATGCAGAAAAGGCCTTTGACAAAATTCAACAACTCTTCATGCTAAAAACTCTCAATAAATTAGGTATTGATGGGACATATCTCAAAATAATAAGAGCTATCTATAACAAACCCACAGCCAATATCATACTGAATGGGCAAAAACTGGAAGCATTCCCTTTGAAATTGGGCACAAGACAGGGATGCCCTCTCTCACCACTCCTATTCATCATAGTGTTGGAAGTTCTGGCCAGGGCAATCAGGCAGGAGAAGGAAATAAAGGGTATTCAATTAGGAAAAGAGGAAGTCAAATTGTCCCTGTTTGCAGATGACATGATTGTATATCTAGAAAACCCCATTGTCTCAGCCCAAAATCTCCTCAAGCTGATAAGCAACTTCAGAAAAGTCTCAGGATACAAAATCTGTGTACAAAAATCACAAGTATTCTTATACACCAATAACAGACAAACAGAGAGCCGAATCATGAGTGAACTCCCATTCATAATTGCTTCAAAGATAATAAAATACTTAGGAATACAACTTACAAGGGATGTGAAGGACCTCTTCAAGGAGAACTACAAACCACTGCTCAATGAAGTAAAAGAGGATACGAACAAATGGAAGAACATTCCATGCTCATGGGTAGGAAGAATCAATATCGTGAAAATGGCCATACTGCCCAAGGTAATTTATAGATTCAATGCCATCCCCTTCAAGCTACCAATGACTTTCTTCACAGAATTGGAAAAAACTACTTTAAAGTTCATATGGAACTAAAAAAGAACCCACATTGCCAAGGCAATCCTAAGCCAAAAGAACAAAGCTGGAAGCATCATGCTACCTGACTTCAAACTAGACTACAAGGCTATAGTAACCAAAGCAGCATGGTACTGGTACCAAAACAGAGATATAGACCAATGGAACAGAACAGAGCCCTCAGAAATAATGCCACATATCTACAACCATCTGATCTTTGACAAACCTGACAAAAACAAGCAATGGGGAAAGGGTACCCTATTTAATAAATGGTGCTGGGAAAACTGGCTAGCCATATGTAGAAAGCTGAAACTGGATCCCTTCCTTACACGTTATACAAAAATTAATTCAAGATGGATTAAAGACTTACATGTTAGACCTAAAACCATAAAAACCCTAGAAGAAAACCTAGGCAATGCCATTCAGGACATAGGCATGGGCAAGGACTTCATGTCTAAAACACCAAAAGCAATGGCAACAAAAGCCAAAATTGACAAATGGGATCTAATTAAGCTAAAGAGCTTCTGCACAGCAAAAGAAACTACCATCAGAGTGAACAGGCAACCTACAGAATGGGAGAAAATTTTTGCAACCTACTCATTGGACAAAGGGCTAATATCCAGAATCTACAATGAACTCAAACAAATTTACAAGAAACAAACAAACAACCCCATCAAAATTGGGCGAAGGGTATGAACAGACATTTCTCAAAAGAAGACATTTATGCAGCCAAAAGACACATGAAAAAATGCTCCTCATCACTGGCCATCAGAGAAATGCAAATCAAAACCACAATGAGATACCATCTCACACCAGTTAGAATGGCGATCATTAAAAAGTCAGGAAACAACAGGTGCTGGAGAGGATGTGGAGAAATAGGAACACTTTTACACTGCTGGTGGGACTGTAAACTAGTTCAACCATTCTGGAAGTCAGTGCGGTGATTCCTCAGGGATCTAGAACTAGAAATACCATTTGACCCAGCCATCCCATTACTAGGTATATACCCAAAGGATTATAAATCATGCTGCTAGAAAGATACATGCACACGTATGTTTATAGCGACACTACTCACAATAGCAAAGACTTGGAACCAACCTAAATGTCCAGCAACCATAGTCTGTAGTAAGAAAATGTGGCACATATACACCATGGAATACTATGTAGCCATGAAAAATGATGAGTTCATGTCCTTTGTAGGGACATGGATGAAACTAGAAATCATCATTCTCAGCAAATTATCGCAAGGAAAGAAAACCAAACACCACATGTTCTCACTCATAGGTGGGAATTGAACAATGAGAACCCATGGACACAGGAAGGGGAACATCACACACCAGGGCCTGTTGTGGGGTGGGGGGAGGGGGGAGGGATAGCATTAGGAGATATACCTAATGTTAAATGACGAGTTAATGGTTGCAACACACCAACATGGCACATGTGTAGACATGTAACAAACCTGCACGTTGTGCACATGTACCCTAAAACTTAAAGTATAATAATAATAAAATTTAAAAAAAAAACAGAAAATGGGTTTTTCTTGTATACCACCTGGCCAGGTTGCAAATTTTCCAAATGTTTGCACTCTGCTTCCCCTTTAAATATAACTTCCAACTTTAAGTGATTTCTTTGCCGTAGCTTCTGAGCATAGGCACTTAGAAGCATCCAGGCTGAATCTTGAATGCCTGATGCTTAGAAATTTCTTCCACCAGAAACTTTAAGTCAAGCCTCTTAAGTTCAAACTTTAACAGATCCATAGGGAATGTTCAAAATGCAGCCAAGTTTTTTGCTAAAGTATAACAAGAGTGGCCTTTTCTTCAGTTCTCAATAACCTCTTCATTTCATCTGAACCTCTTCAGCCTGAACTTCACTGTCCATATCACTGCCAGCATTTTGGTCATCACCATTTAACCAGTCTCTAAGAAGATTCAAACTTTTCCTCATCTTTGTATTTTCTTCTGAGCCCTCCAAACTCTTTGAACCTCTGCCTATTACCCAGTTCTAAAGCTGATTTCACATTTTCAGGTATCTTTACAGCAATTCCCCATCATTGGTACCAATTTTCTGTCTTAGACCATTCTTGCATTACTATAAAGAAATACCTGGGCTGGCTAATTTATAAGCAAAGAGATTTAATTAGCTCACTGTTCTGCAGGCTGTACAGGAAGCATAGCCCCTGCATCAACTTCTGACAAGGACCTCACGAAGCTTACAATCATGGCAGAAGGTGAAGGAAGAGCAGGTTTCTTACGTGACATGAGTGGGAGCAAGAGATAGTGTAAGGGGGAGATGTCACAAACTTTTAAACAACCAGATCTTGTACAAAGTCACTCCCTGTCATGAAGACAGCACCAAGCCGTGAGGAATCCATTCCCATGACCAAAACACCTCCCACCGGACCCCATCTCCAACATTAGCAGTTACAATATTATATCTGTATATAATAATTTTATGTATCCCCTTAATGTTCCAAAGTAGTTATTTTGATTATAATTAATCAAAATATTGATTAAAGGCTTTGGTATTAGATTTTGAATCCATTCCACCTATTGGCTGGAACATGAGATGTGGAGGGACAAATATCCAAGCTATATCAGGGTGAAAAGAGTTTTCCAAAGCAATTCCCATTCCCTCATGAGAAAGATAGAGGACAAGAGTCTCTGGCTCTTGGGAGTATAGAGGTTTACATAGATGAGCACTTGTAAAAGGATCCCCTTTTCTGTATCTTGCATTTTACCCTGTCTCATTTGGTTCCTTTTAGTGGGCAATGGGAGTTGAAGTCCTGCTTACAGGGAAGAAGAGCTCTTTTCCTTTCAGGTTATTGTTACTGGGGCTCCAGTTGATCCATCTCAGTTGTGTCACCAGTTCACCTGGTGGTGTTTGCTGGTTGCTCTGAGGGAGAAATGATCTCACATGGGATAGCCATTACCTCTAAAAGGCACCGAAGATGCAACTTTCCCACAAGGAAACAGGTAAACCCTTCAGAAGCTACACCATTTTTTTCTATATATATGTTAAATACCAGCTTAACCTGGCTTGGATGTGCTTGGCCTAGGAAAGGAGAAAAAAGCAATAGTTAACTCATATCTAAGAATAGTTAACACCATTTCTTAGCCTCAAAATATTTACACAAATTATAACTGTATATAATAAGATTATATATCTCATTAAGTTTCCAAATTACTCATTTTTATTATAATTATAGGTTTTGGTATTAGATTTTGGATCTGTTTCACTTATTGACTAGGAGAAATGAATGGCTTCATCCTGAGTTAAGGGAAAATGCCTGTTTCCCTGAAAGATGGTAGATTAAGAATTAGAAAGTTTAAGGAAGTAAAAATACTAGAATAGATATATTATATTACAATGCAAGACAACATGATAACATAATACATGGAAAGCCCATGTATATAAAATGCCATTTGCCAAGACTGTCAAGAATGCACTGGCACTGATGGGAGGAACACCAGTGTTACTAACAAATTCAAGGGTGGCTCACCTCCACAGGCCAGAGCTGATGGTAAGAGAGATGGTCCCAGTCCAGGGCTCATTAATATTTATGGAGATAAGACAGATCTGAAATAATAGAGGCCAGGTGGTGATGTTTAGCTGCCAGAAATCAGGACACAATTATCGTAATGACCATCAAGGTCAGAAGAGCAGCCAATAAGTCTTGGCCCACAGAGAGTAATGGACATGGTTAACAGTGCGTGGCATCCCTAGGGGGAAACAGACAGCTAGGCAATAAGGATATGGTTTAATATCTATAACCAAACAAGACAAGAATGAAGAAGGAGGAGACTGAGGAGTGCCATCCCAATAAAAAGCCATGCATGATCCCTTGCTCAGTTTCCAGGTTTGAGCCAATTTTCAAATTCAGAACTTGTCAACTAATAAAGTGAATGGGTCCCCAGGGGGATGACTTTTTAAGAAGACTGTGGCAAATATGATTCCCACAATCCTTTCATTAATTAATCTACAGCCATTTATACAGGTGACTATATAGTGGGGAACAGAGAATATCTAGACATATTGAGGAAAAATATGGCATAAGTTCTGAGTTGACGTTAATATTCAGTGACTCAAAGCATCATCTTGACTCCCCTGTTGGGAGGGAGTTTGCAGGAGCCATATAATAAAGGGATACCCAGCTAAAATTTTGATTCTATATCTACTTTCACCACTGTTATTCAACATAGTACTAGAATCCTAGCTAGAGCAGTCAGACAAGAGAAAGAAATAAAAAGCATCCAAATTGGAAAGGAAGAAGTCAAATTATCCTTATTTGGAGATGGTATGATCTCATATTCAGAAAAACCCAAAGACTCCTCTAAAAAAACTATTAAAACTTATTTAAAATTTTAGTAAAGTTGCAGGATACAAAAGTAACATGCAAAAATTACTAGCATTTCTATATGCCAAAAGCAAACAACCTGAACAAAAAATCAAGAAAGTAATCCCAATTACAAGAGTCATGAGTAAAGTAAAATACTGAAGAATAAACTTAGCCAAATAAGTGAAAGATCTCTACAAGGAAAACTATAAAACATTGGTGCAAGAAATTGAAGCAGACACACACAAAAAGGATATTTCACGTTCATGGATTGGAAGAATTAATGTTAAAATGTTCATAGTACCCAAAGCAATCTACAAATTCAATGCAATTCTTATTAAATTACCAAACACATTCTTCACAGAAATAGCAAAAAAAAAGTGCTAAAATTTATATGGAACCATAAAAGACCCAGAATAGCCAATGCCATCCTGAGGAAAAAAAAAAAAAACTGAAGTCATCATATTACCTGGCTTCAAATTCTACTACAGAGCTATAGTAACCAAAACAGTATGGTACTGCCATAAAAACAGGCACATGGCTCAATGGAACAGAATAGGGAACACAGAAAAAAATCTATATATCTACAGTGAACTCATTTTTGACAAAGGTGCCAAGAAAATACATAAGAGAAAGGACAGTCTCTTCAATAAATGATGCTGGGAAACTGAATATTCATATGCAGAAGGAGGAAACTAGATTCCATTCTTTTGCCATACACAAAAGTTAAATAAAAATGATTAAAAGCTTAAATTTAAGACCTCAAACCATAAAACTAGTGAAATAAAACATTTGGAAAACTCCAGAACATTGGTCTGGGAAAAAGATTTATTGAGTAATACCCAAAGCACAGGTTACCAAAGCAAAAATAGCCAAATGGGGTCACATCAGCTTAAAAAGCTGCTGCACAGCAAAGGATGCAATCCACAAAGTGAGGAGACAACCCCCAGAATGTGAGAAAATATTTGCACACTACCCTTCTGATGAGGGATAAATAACCAGAATATATAAGGAGCTAAAACAACGGTATAGAATAAAAATCTAATAATCCAATTTATAAATGGACAAAAGACCTCAAGAAACATTTCTCAAAAGAAGACATACAAATGCCAAACAGGCATATGAAAAGGTTCATAATGAGATATCATCTCACCCCAGTTAAAATGGCTTTTATCTATAAGACAGGCAACAGTAAATGCCAGTGAAGATGTAGAGGAAAGGGAACCTTTGTACAATGTTGTTGGGAATGTAAATTAGTACACCCACTATGAAGAACAGTTTGGAGGGTCCTCAAAAAACTAAAAATAGAACTACCATATGATACAGCAATCTCACTGCTAGGTATATATCAAAGAAAAGGAAATCAGTATATTAAAAAGATGTATGCACTCCCATTTTTATTACAGCACTATTTGCAATAGCCAAGATTTGGAAGCAACCTAATTGTCCATCGACAGATGAATGGATAAAGAAAATGTGGCACATATACACAATGGAATATTGTTCAACCATAAAGAATGAGATCTTATCGTTTCCAACAACATGGATGAAACCAGAGGTCATTATATCAGGTAAAATAAGATAGGCACAGAAAGACAAACTTCACATGTTCTCCCTCATTTTGCAGAGCTAAAAATGAAAACTATTGATCTCTTGGAAATAGAGAGTAGAATGATGTTAAACAGAGGGTGAAAAGGATAGTGTGGGTGGGCAGACTGAGGATGGTTAATGGGTGCAAGAATATAGTTAGATAGAATAAATAAGATTTAGTATTTGATAGCACAATAGGGTGATTACAGTACGCAATAATTTATTGTACATTTCAAAGTAACTAAAAGAGTATAATTGGAATGTTTTTAACACAAAGAAGTGATCAATGTTTGAGGTGATGGATATCCCATTTACCCTGATGTGATTATTACACACTATATGCCTGTACCAAAATATCTCATATACCCCATACTATATATACACCCATTATGTACCTGTACAATAAAATAAAATAAAATTCTGGTTCTATTGTATCCACTGGGTCCACAGACCCACCCAATTGTCATTTAACTAGTTTTGAACTGTATACCTAAAATCTATATACTTAGAAGTAACAGTAACCTCTCTATTGTGTTGCTAGCTTGTGGCATAAGAGTTGTTATGGTGTAAAAGACCAAGGTAAACATCTTAAACTACTCTCAACTGTCCTTGGACCACAGTGAAGTAACTTATGACCTGAACTTCTGGTTATGTATCTGCATGGAAAATAATTAGAATACCAGATATTGGTAAGTCTGGTGTAGTATATGTGCATATACATATGGGGGTGAGCACAAAGTGTAAAAATTTTGGTATCACACTTTAATACTCACCACAAGGTATTCACCCCAAAAGAGGAATTGAACATTCAAGTAGATCAGTTAATATTAGCCAGTCCTCACCATAGGTCATGTTGGAACTGGTTCAATGTACACATGAACAGGGGGTCCTGGTGAAGAGATGGGAGAAATGTATGGGCCAGCAGCATGGACTCCCACTAACCAAGGCTGACCCAGCTATTGCTGCCTCTGAATGTCAAAATTGTCAGCAACAGGTATCAATTCTGAGCCTCTGATATGGCACCTTTCCTCACGAAGACTAAGCAGTGGCCACTTGGAGGGCAAGTCAATTGCACTGGGCCTCACCTCTTATGAAAGGGTCAATATTTCATCCTCACAGGGATAAATATCTATTCTATTCTAGATATATGTTTACTTTTCCTGCTCAGAGAAATCAGCAGCACCACTATCTGAGGGCTTACAAAATGCCTAATCCACAGGCACAGAATCTCAAACAAAGGCATTGAAACAGGAAACCTACTGTGTAGCAAAGAGGGTATGAGAGTGATCCCATGATGATAGGACCCACTGGTGTTATCATTATAATATACTGTACTTCTCAGAAGCCATTGGCCTCATGCCGTTACTGAAGATACTGAAGATATATAGGTTCTTCCATTTTCTTTCTTTCTTTCTTTCTTTCTTTCTTTCTTTCTTTCTTTCTTTCTTTCTTTCTTTCTTTCTTTCTCTCTCTCTCTCTCTCTCTCTCTCTCTCTCTCTTTCTTTCTTTCTTTCTCTCTTTGAGGAGGAGTCTCGGACTGGAGTACAATGGTGCAGTATCAGCTCACTGCAACCTCTGCCTCCCAGATTCAAGCGATTCTCCTGCCTCAGCCTCCTGAGTAGCTGGGACTACAGGTGCGTGCCACCACACCAGGATAATTTTTTTTTTTTTTTTTTTTTGGTAGAGATGGGGTTTCACTATGTTGGCGAGGCTGGTCTTGAACTCCTGACCTCGTGATCTGCCTGCCTCGGCCTCCCAAAGTACAGGGATTACAGGTGTGAGCCACAGCACCTGGCTGGTTCATCCGTTTTCTAAAGGCACAATTGAAGCTCCACCTCAGAGGCAACAGTCGAAACCAATGAGATGCCACCTTTTAGGATCTAGTCTATACAATAATTGGAGACCTCTATATAGTCCTGTATTCCCAAAAGAACAAAGGCATGAGTCTGGGAGCCAAAGAGGGAAAAGAGGACTGGCCTCAGGTAATTCTTGTTCCACTATACCTGGAATAAATGTATGCAGCAACCCTGAGAAAGCTAGGATTATGGCTCAGACACTTCAGAAATGTCTAGGCTACTTGGCAGCCACTAGCACAGGCTGAAATGATAGTAGTGGGTGGGAAGAATTTACATTGGATAATAGGGGCAGATCACGAGTACCAGTTGTGACCACAAGGCCAACTGTAGCAACTACGATTTGTAGTTCATCCCTTTAACCTCTCTCTTCTAAGCTTCTTCTCACAAAGTGAGACCAACAAAGACTCTGGAGGAGCTTCTACAGAAACATGTTTCACGTAAGAATGGTCATAAAATACGGTGGCCTGCAGTGGCCATAAATACTGCTGCTCAGATTTTCTGCTGGGCAGAGCATAGTAGACTGACAGTCCCAGCTGCCATCTCTCTGGATTCTCCATTGTGTTCAGGCATCACACTTCCCTGTGATGCTTCCAGCCAATGACTGAGTACAACAGGGGTGCTGGAGCATGACCATTTCTGCAGGACACAGCAGTGTTCCAATGAGAACCTTTGCCTCAGGGACTCCCCATTGGCCTTGCTGAAATTCCTTAAACTGTCTGGCAGTGAGACTCTTCTTATCCAATATCTCCTCCTTCCTCCTTTCCTTCCACTGGTGTCAGACTGCATCATAGTCTAAAGTATTATTCTGCGTACATCTACCTTCACTCCTTCATCTTTAACGATGTATCTCTTGCACATCTAAACTCATCTGATGTCTGCTTCTCAAGTGACCAAAGCTAATACACCTTTAAAATCAATTCTAGTTTGAAGTTGCTGTGGTTGCATGTAGAAAGTACCAGGTTTTTTTTTCTCGAGATCTCTTTTCATTTGCCCCTGCCAGTCCTTAAAATTTTTGTTGTCCAACTCTTTCTTCCTTTTATTCTTTCAAAAATTAAGTGACAAGAAAATGATATAGATTCAGAGACTGAGTATGAAGAGTAGAATAAGGAAGTGGTGTTTGCATCTTGGGTAAAATTGGTGGAAAGTTTTCCAGATTAAATTTTTTTCAAAGGTTTGAAATTTCTCAGAGCCAACTACTGTTTTTGGATCTCCAAATAAATCTTTTAAAAACATTTTTAATTAATAAATAATAATTATACAGATTTATGGAGTACGTAGTGATTTATTTAATTATTATTTGATTAATAAATAATAATTGTACAGATTTATGGAGTACATATGGAGTATATAGTGATCAGATTAGGGTAATTAGCATATATATCATCTCAAACATTTATCATTTTTTTTGTTGGCAACATTCAACAGTCTCTCTTCTAGCTATTTGAAAATATATATTTTTGTTAACTATACTCATCCTACAGTGCTATAGAACATTTGAAGTTATTTCTCCTATTTAGCTATAATTTTGTATCCTTTAGCAAATCTATCTTGCTTTCCAATTAAATGTTGGTGTTAACTAGAAAAGGTTTCTTATGTATATACATCTGTTTCCTTTTCTTTAAACTAGACTGTATAATCTGTTATTTACTTCCATCCCAAAAATACCATATTCGGTTGGGCATGGTGGTTCATCTCTGTAATCCCAGCACTTTGGAAGGCCAAGATGGGAAGATCACTTGAGCCCAGGAGCTCAAGACCAGCCTCAGCAACATAGTAAGAACCCCGCCTCAACAAAGAAAAAAAAAATTTTTCTGTTTTTTAATTAGCCAAGCATGGTGGCATGTGCCTGTAGTCCCAGCTACTTCAGAAGCTGAGGTGGGAAGACAGTTTGAGCCCAGGAGGTCGAGGCTGCAGTGAGTGAGCTATGATTATGCTATTGCACTTCAGTGAAACCCTATCAAGACAAAAATAAATAAATAAAGTAAAATATAATAAATAAATAATAAAATAAAATATTATCTTCTATATTTGTTAGAGATTATCTCAAAGAATGATCTGTATTTTATGTGTTTAACTGCTTATCTCTTTGTAAGAGTACAGAAAAAATATGAATGTAGTTTTATATTTTCTATTTTCACACAAAGTTGCCCATATTGTGACCTTAACTAAATTTTTGCAGGATTAGACAGTCTGGTGCAGCAAGCTCATTATTGTGGCTATAGAGGGCAGAGAAAGACTGGTTTGTACAAGTTGCCAGGAAGTGAATCTCAGCTAAACTTGAGGAAATGGGGTTTGATTATCCAATGAACATGCAGGTTTCGGATTGTTCCATCTTAAACTGAAGATAAGAGCCATTTTTGTATTTCTGTCAGTACAGTCATGTTTCCTGCAAAATCTAAATTCTCAAAAGACAAGCACCTGTCTCTCAGATTCACTCATCTATTCAATTTATGCACAGCCTAGCAGAAGACTGGAAATAAAAAAGGCATGCAAAAAGAAGAAGGAGAAGGAGGAGCGTAAACAGCCAGGGTAGGGAGACTGGAATAACTTTAATAACTTCTCATTCTTAAACCTCAAGAATGTTATAGAAATCACATAGGCCAGGCACGGTGGCTCACTCCTGTAATTCCAGCACTTTGAGAGGCCGAGGCGGGTGATCACCTGAGGTCAGGAGTTTGAGAACAGCCTGACCAACATGGCGAAACCCCCTCTCTCCTAAAACTACAAAAATTATCCCGGTGTGGTGGCACACGTCTCCTCGCTACTCGGGAGGCTGAGGCATGAGAATCGCTTGAACCCGAGAGGTGGAGGTTGCAGTGAGCCAAGGTTGCACCAACTGTACTCCAGCCTGGGTGACAGAGCAAGATTCTGTCAGGAAGGAAGGAAGGAAGGAAGGAAGGAAGGAAGGAAGGAAGGAAGGAAGGAAGGAAGGAGAGATGGAAGGAAGGAAGGGAGGGAAATCACATAGTACTCACCAGCTCCCCTCCTCTCTCCGACACCTGATACCACTAGTCACCAGAGAGAAAGAAAAAAACCCAAAAAGGCAACAGTATCCCTCACCACAGCAGCCCCATGTCTGACACTCCAGGAGAAACAAAACCACTTGCCTGAAATTAAAGTAAGCTATAAAGATTATCTTCATTATAACATTGTAACTAAAACATTATGTATCTATTTTCCTGGGCATCTTAAATTGTTTAATTAATACTGAGCACTCATATGAATGAAGACTTTTGCTTGGTGTTGTGGCCATTGAGATGCCCTTTCTCTAACTAAAAGGAATGATTTTAATATATGAATAACTTGTTTTTATTCTGCCAATTGGTTTCTCATGCTTGTGATAAGTACAGTGTAATAAATTAAAAGCGTAATTTCTTACTCCTCCCAAGTATGTACCTAATTTCCTTTCCCAGGCTCTTTTTAATAGCGCAGGGCCATGTCGTATGGCTTTTCTTTGATAGAATATGGTAGAAATGATGTGTGGTACATTCAAGATTGATTCCTTCAAACATTTGCACTTTCCTAGATACAAGGATACTTCTATTCTCACTCAAATCTTCACAACTCAGAAGCAATTTTTACCATTTCTGCAATGAAATATCATTTGACAAGAGATGGTAGATGGTATTCAGGGAACTGTTCCTAGACATATTATTTGGAAATATCGTATGCTCAGCATTCTTTTCATGAGATCTGCAGACCAGAGATGCAGATTCTTTCCAAATCTTTGGGTTAGGGAATGGTAGAAGACCAAAATAAACACACTCTTAATCATTATTTATGCCTAAAATCTCACTTTATGAAAATTTCACCAAGGAAGTTATTTCTCAGACAGCTTGCAAATAGTGGAGAAAAGAATGCTCTGAGCATTTATGTTGGGGTGAGTAAATCTTATTCATAATTTAAAAAGTTACCATAAACAATGAAAATTTCACACGGAAAGTAGAAAAAACTAGATAAATGGCCTAAAGCATTGGAGAAAAGGTATAGATGAGAGAGAGCCCAGAAAGGCAGAGAGCAGGGTAAGAGCTTAGTGGGGCTCCTCCACTGTGCTTACTTCTGTGCCAGGCACTCACATTTAATTTTTTTTTTTTTTTTTTTTGCTTTTGTTGCCCAGGCTGGAGGGCAATGGCACAATCTCAGCTCACCCCAGCCTCTGCCTCCCAGGTTCAAGCGATTCTTCTGCCTCAGCCTCCGGAGTAGCCGGGATTACAGGCATGTGCCACCACGCCCAGCTAATTTTGTATTTTTAATAGAGACGGGGTTTCTCCATGTTGGTCAGGATGGTCTTGAACTCCCAACCTCAGGTGATCCGCCTGCCTCAGCCTCCCAAAGTGCTGGCATTACAGGTGTGAGCCACTGCGCCCAGCCCACATTTAATTTTTACAGCCATGCTGGAAACTCAGGTATGATTTTACCAAATTACAAAGAAAGAAATAAACTCAGCATGTTCACATAATTTTCCCATTGATGGTGGAATTAATATTTCACTCTAGTTCTGATTCTAGTGTTTTTCTGTTTTCAGTTCACAACATTGCTTACAGTAAATTTTATCCTTGTGCATACAATTATTGTTGTCACTATTATTTTCAGAAAAATACATTTCTTTTTCTTTCTTTTTTTTAAATTTTATTATTATTATCCTTTAAGTTTTAGGGTACATGTGCACAACATGCAGGTTTGTTACATATGTATACATGTGCCATGTTGGTGTGCTGCACCCATTAACTGGACATTCAGCATTAGGTATATCTCCTAATGCTATCCCTCCCCCTTCCCCCCACCCCACAACAGTCCCCAGTGTGTGATGTTCCCCTTCCTGTGTCCATGTGTTCTCATTGTTCAATTCCCACCTATGAGTGAGAACATGTGGTGTTTGGCTTTTTGCCCTTGCCATAGTTTGCTGAGAATGTTGGTTTCCAGCTTCATCCATGTCCCTACAAAGGACATGAACTCATCGTTTTTTATGGCTGCATAGTATTCCATGGTGTATATGTGCCACATTTTCTTAATCCATTCTATCACTGTTGGACATTTGGGTTGGTTCCAAGTCTTTGCTATTGTGAATAGTGCCACAATAAACATATGTGTGCATGTGTCTTTATAGCAGCATGATTTATAATCCTTTGGGTATATACCCAGTAATGGGATGGCTGGGTCAAATGGTATTTCTAGTTCTAGATCCCTGAGGAATCGCCACACTGACTTCCACAATGGTTGAACTAGTTTACAGTCCCACTAACAGTGTAAAAGTGTTCCTATTTCTCCACATCCTCTCCAGCACCTGCTGTTTCCTGACTTTTTAATGATCGCCATTCTAACTGGTGTGAGATGGTATCTCATTGTGGTTTTGATTTGCATTTCTCTGATGGCCAGTGATCATGAACATTTTTTTCATGTGCTTTTTGGCTACATAAATGTCTTCTTTTGAGAAGTGTCTGTTCATGTCCTTCGCCCACTTTTTGATGGGGTTGTTTGTTTTTTTCTTATAAATTTGTTTGAGTTCATTGTAGATTCTGGATATTAGCCTTTTGTCCAATGAGTAGGTTGCAAAAATTTTCTCCCATTCTGTAGGTTGCCTGTTCACTCTGATGGTAGTTTCTTTCGCTGTGCAGAAGCTCTTTAGTTTAATCAGATCCCATTTGTCAATTTTGGCTTTTGTTGCCATGGCTTTTGGTGTTTTAGACATGAAATCCTTGCCCATGCTTATGTCCTGAATGGTATTGCCTAGATTTTCTTCTAGGGTTTTTATGGTTTTAGGTCTAACATGTAAGTCTTTAATCCATCTTGAATTAATTTTTGTATAACGTGTAAGGAAGGGATCCAGTTTCAGCTTTCTACATATGGCTAGCCAGTTTTCCCAGCACCATTTATTAAATAGGGAATCCTTTCCCCATTGCTTGTTTTTGTCAGGTTTGTCAAATATCAGATAGTTGAAGATATGCGGCATTATTTCTGAGGGCTCTGTTCTGTTCCATTGGTTTATATCTCTGTTTTGGTGCCAGTACCATGCTGTTTTGGTTACTGTAGACTTGTAGTATAGTTTGAAGTCAGGTAGTGTGATGCCCCCAGCTTTGTTCTTTTGGCTTAGGATTGACTTCGCAATGCAGGCCCTTTTTTGGTTCCATATGAACTTTAAAGCAGTTTTTTCCAATTCTGTGAGGAAAGTCATTGGTAGCTTGAAGGGGATGGCATTGAATCTATAAATTACCTTGGGCAGTATGGTCATTTTCATGATATTGATTCTTCCTACCCATGAACATGGAATGTTCTCCCATTTCTTTGTGTCCTCTTTTATTTCATTGAGCAGTGGTTTGTAGTTCTCCTTGAAGAGGTCCTTCACATCCCTTTTAAGTTGGATTTCTACATATTTTATTCTCTTTGAAGCAATTGTGAATCGGAGTCCACTCATGATTTGGCTCTGTGTTTGTCTGTTATTGGTGTATAAGAATGCTTGTGATTTTTGCACATTGATTTTGTATCCTGAGACTTTGCTGAAGTTGCCTATCAGCTTAAGGAGATTTTGGGCTGAGACGATGGGTTTTTCTAGATATATAATCATATCACCTGCAAACAGGGACAATTTGACTTCCTCTTTTCCTAATTGAATGCCCTTTATTTCCTTCTCCTGCCTAATTTCCCTGGCCAGAACTTCCAACACTATGTTGAATAGGAGTGGTGAGAGAGGGCATCCCTGTCTTGTGCCAGTTTTCAAAGGGAATGCTTCCAGGTTTTGTCCATTCAGCATGATATTGGCTGTGGGTTTGTTATAGATAGCTCTTATTATTTTGAGATATGTCCCATCAACACTTAATTTATTGAGAGTTTTTAGCATGAAGGGTCGTTGAATTTTGTCAAAGGCCTCTTCTGCATCTATTGAGATAATCATGTGGTTTTTGTCTTTGGTTCTGTTTATATGCTGGATTACATTTATTGATTTTTGTATGTTGAACCAGCCTTGCATCCCAGGGATGAAGCCCCCTTGATCATGGTGGATAAGCTTTTTGATGTGTTGCTGGATTCGATTTGACAGTATTTTATTGAGGATTTTCGCATCAATGTTCATCAAGGATACTGGTCTAAAATACTCTTTTTTTATTGTGTCTCTGCCAGGCTTTAGTATCAGGATGATGCTGGCCTCATAAAATGAGTCAGGGAGGATTCCCCCTTTTTCTATTGATTGGAATATTTTCAGAAGGAATGGTACCAGCTCCTCTTTGTACCTTTCGTAGAACTCGGCTGTGAATTCATCTGGTCCTGGACTTTTTTTGGTTGGTAGGCTGTTAATTATTGTCTCAATTTCAGAGCCTGTTATTGGTCTATTCAGGGATTCAATGTCTTCCTGGTTTAGTCTTGAAAATGGCATGACATTAAATAGGTCATCTATTTCAGGTAAAAATAAAATGACTAGCTCCTCCTTCTGGCTCCCAAAGTGACAGGGCCTAACAGGCCCCATGAAACATGAGTTATGATAGTAAGTTTCATTATTCATGCAGTATTGAGAAATCCATTACATTAGAGGGGTCCCACGTCTAAAGCCTTCACTTCAAGTCTACCCTGTAAAAGTGAACTGAAGGGCACAAGGAGAGAATGGAGGACACAGGCCCAGGAAGGTCCTTTCGAAGGGTGTGAGGAGAGCTTTGAGGGACTCTCTTGCCTCTCGTCCTCTGTTTCCAGTTCTGCCAGCTGCCTTCTAAGGATATTGACTTTTGCTTGTAATTCCTGATTATATTCAATGATGTTAACCATTTCTTCATATGCTTCATCCAAATACTTAGAGGATCTATTCCAATGTAGGAAAATACCTTCCCACAGTGGAAGACTGTGGAGCAACTGAAGGCCAGATGACCAGGTTGTTGGCTTCAAAGAAGGGATTGGTGAATTTACTCAGCTCACTGGGCTGATTGACCCAGGACCACAAAGACATCATCTTCTGCTGTAGCTTTAACTTACATCTTTCACTTTTGTTGTCGCCCAGAAATGTCTATTATTATATTTAAATGGTGGTGATAATTCTCATTGACAGTGTTTTCATTTCCTTTGGATATATACCCAGAAGTGGGATTGCTGGATCATATGGAGGTTTAATTTTTAATTTTTTTCAGGAAACTTTATACTGTTTTCCATAATGGCTATACCAATTTATATTCTCACCAACAGTATACTAGGGGGCCATTTTCTTCACCCCCTCTTTCACCAACACTTGTCTCTTGTCTTTCTGATGATAGCCATCCTAATAGATGTGAGGTAACATCTTATTGTGTTTTTGATTTGCATTTATTGATGATTGGTAATGTTGAGCACATTTTTGTATAAGTGGAAAATGGTCATTCATATGTCTCCTTTGGAAAAATATCTATTCAAGTTTTTTTTTTCCCATTTTTAAGTCAGTTTTATGTTTGCTATTATGACATATAGAAGTTTATTCCATGTTTTAAATATCAATCCCTTATCAGATATATGGTTTGCAAATATTTATCTTCACTTTGAAGTTTGCCTTTCCTTTTTGTTCATTGTTCCCCTTGCTGTGCAAAACCTTTTAGTTATATATAGTCCATTTGTTTATTTTCACTTTTGTTGCCTGTGCTTTTGATGCCATATAAAAGAATTCATTGCCAAGGCCAACATCAAGAGGCTTTATTCCTATGGTTTCTTCTAGCAGTTTTACAGGTTCTGATATAATATTCACGCCTTCAATCTATTTTGAGTTAGTTTTTTTATATGGGGTAAGATAATAGTCCAGTTTCATTCCTTTGCATGTGGATATTTAGTTTTCCCAACACTGTTTAATGAAGAGATTATCTTTTCCCCATTGAGTATTCTTGGCATTCTTGTAAAAGATTAGTTCATCTTATATACATACATTTATTTCTGGGGTGTCTATTTTGTTCCATTGTCCTATATGTCTGTTTTCATGTCAGTATTTCACTGTTTTGATTACTATATCTTTGTAATATAGTTTGAAATCAGAAAGTATGATACCTTCAACTTTGCTTTTCTTTATTAAGATTGTGTTTCCCATTTTGGGTCTTTTATGGTTCTACACAAATTTTAATATTTTGTGTGTGTGTGTCTATACAAATGCAATTGAAATTTTTAAGGATTCCATTGAATGTGTTGATTGCTTTTGGTAGCATGGACATTTTAATATTCTTTGAATTTGTAAACATGTTGTTTCTCCATTTATTTGTGTTTTCAGTTTCTTTCATCAATGCCTGATCTTTTCTGTGTATATATCTTTCATCCATTTGTTAATTTTTTTTTTTTTTTTTTTTGAGACAGAGTGTCTGTCATGCTGGCTGGAGTGTAGTAGCACAATCTCAGCTCACTGCAACCTCTGCCTCCTGGATTCAAGCAATTCTCATACCTCAGCATTCCTAGTAGGTGGGATCACAGGTCCCACATCTGGCTAATTTTTGCACTTTTAGTAGAGATGCGGTTTCGCCATGTTGGCCCGGTTGGTCTTGAACTCCTGATCGTAAGTGATCCACCTGCCTCAGGCATCCCAAAGTGCTGGTATTACAAGCATGAGCCACCATGTCCGGCCAAATTTATTCTTAAATATTTTATTCTTTTCAATGCCATTGTACATGGCATTTTTTTTTTTATTTATCTTCAGAGAGTTTGTTGTTAGAGTACAGAAATGCAACTGATTTTTGTATGTTGATGTTAAATAATACTTTGTTGAATTTCTTTATTAGTCTAACTTTTTTTTTTTTGGTGAGTTCTTAGGGTTTTCTATATATATATCTTGCCCTCTACAAGCAGATTTAGCATCTTTTTGTGATTTTGATGCCTTTTATTTCTTTTTCGTGCCAACTGCTCTGGCTAGGAATTCCACTGTTCTGTTGAATGGAAGTGGCAAGACTGGACAGACCTGTCTTTTTCCTGATCTTAGAAGAAAAACTTTTAGCTTTTAACCACAGAATATGATGTTAACTGCAATTTTATAATAGATGGCTTTTATTATATTGAGGTACATTTCTTCTATATCTAACTTGTTGAGAGTTATTTCTTTTGTAATTATGAAACAGTGATGAATTTTGCCAAATGCTCTTTCTGCATCTGTCAAGATTATCGCATGGGTTTTGTCCTTCATTCTGTTAATGTGGTGTATCACATTGACTGACGTGTGTATTTTGAATCATCCTGGCATCCCAGAAATAAATTCCACTTGATCATGGTGTATGATTCTTTTAACATACTGTTGAATTCTGTTTACTACATTTTGTTGAAAATTTTTGCGCATGTCTTCCTCAGTCATATTGGCCTATAGTTTTCTTTTCTTGCAGAGTCCTTATCTGGCTTTGGTTTGAGAGTAATGCTGGTCTCATAAAATAGGTTTGGAAGTGTTTTCTCTTCTTCAATTTTTTGGAAGAGTTTGAAAAGGATTGAAGTTCTTTAAATGCTTGGTAAAATTCCCCATGAAGCCATCTAGTCTTGGGCTTTTCTTTGTTGGGAGGCTTTTGATTACTGATTCAATCTTGTTACTCATTATTGGTCTGTTCAGATTATCTATTTCTTCATCATTCAGTTTCAATAGGTTTTATGTTACTAAAAATGTAAATATTTTTTCCAGATTATCCAGTTTTGTTGGCATATAATTGTTCATATTAGTCCCATGATTCTTTAAATTTCTGTGGTATCCATATGAATGATTCCTCTTTCATTTATAATTATATTTATTTGAATGCTTTCTTATTTTTGTGGTTAGTCTAGCTGAATGTTTGATTTATGTTTTAAATTTTGTTTATCATTTCAAAAAATAACACCCTTTCATTGATCTTTTATATTGCCTATTGCCTTTCTAGTCTCCATTTCATTTATTTCAACTCTAATATTTATTACAATTTTAATTTTGCTAACTTTGTTCTTACTTCATTTTTTTTTTGTAGTTCCTTGAAGTTTGGGCATGCTGTTTTTACTGTTTCAAGATAATTTTTGATTTCCTTGTTAATGTCTTCTTTGACTCCT
This sequence comes from Homo sapiens, assembly GCF_000001405.40. Classification (NCBI taxonomy): domain Eukaryota; kingdom Metazoa; phylum Chordata; class Mammalia; order Primates; family Hominidae; genus Homo; species Homo sapiens. The sequence continues at coordinate 49,081,042 of NC_000006.12, forward strand.
TGGTTTTCAAGAGTGTGTTCTTAAATTATTACCTATTTGTGAATTTTCCAAAATGCCTCCTGTTATTGATCTGTAGTCACACCATTGTCAAGTAGAAGAGGTACTTGATATGATTTCAATTTTCTTACATTTTTTAAGACTTGTTTTGTGTCCTAATATTTGATATATCCTGGAGAATATTTTACATATACTTGAGAAAAATGTGTACTTTGCTGCTATTGCATAGAATATTCTAGTATATGTCTGTTAGGTTTGTTTGGTCTATAGCATTATTAAAGTCCATTTTTCCTTATTGATCTTCTGTCCAGATTACGTGTCTATTTTTGACACTGGGGTAGTTGAAGTCCTCAACTATTATTGTATTGCTGTGTATTAATCGCTCAGTTCTGTTAATGTTTGCTTCATATATTTAAGTATTCCAATATTGGGTAGAAATATAATAACAATTGTTATAGCTTCTTAATTAATTGTCCCCTTTATCATTATATAGTGATCTCCTCTGTCTCTTGTGATAGATATTGACATTCTGTTTTGTCTGATATAACTATAGTCATCTTTGCTTTCTTTGGTTATCACTTTCATTTTATCTTTTTGCATCCCATTACTTTCAGTCTATGTATGTCCTTAAAGTTAAATTAAGTCTCTGGTAGGCATCATATTGTTGGATTTTTTTTTGTTTTATCCATTCTGTCACTCTGTGTCTTTTGATTGTAGAATTAAATCCATTTACATTTAAAGTAATTACTGGTAGGTAAAGATATTATTTTCATTTATTAAGTTGTTTTTTTAACTGTTTTGTAGTTCCTCTGTTCCTTTCTTTCTCTCTTGTTATCTTCTCTTGTGTTTTGTTCATTTTTAATAGTGGTATGTTTTGATTATTTTCTATTTATTTTTTCATACATGTACTAGAGGTTTGTTTTTTGTCTTACCATGAGGCTTACATAAAATATCGTATAGTCATAATATTCTTTTTTAAGCTGATAGCAAGTTAATGTCATTTGCACACAAACTACAATTTTGCTTTCTTCATCTGTGACATTTTATGCTATGGTATCATACTTTTTTTTTGTACTGTGTATCCATTAACAAGTTATTATAGCTATAATTACTTTTAATCTTCTTGTTTTTAACCTTTATACTAGAGTTAAAATTGGTGTTCATGTCATCATTTTGTATTAGAGTTTTCTGATTTTGACTTATATTTACTTTTGCCAGAGAGCTTTATAATTTAATATGATCTCATGTTATTACTTAACATAATTTTGTTTAATCTCAAAGAACTCACTTTGGAATTTCTTAGAAGGTAAGTGTAGTGGTGATTAACTCTCTTAGCTTTTGTTTGTCTGTGAATATCTTTATTTCTACATCTCTGAAGGACAGCTTTGTCAAGTACAGTATTCTTTTGTTGCAGAGTTTTTCTCAGCACTTTGAATACAGAATGACTGGAATACATTTGGACAAGTGTGTCACTAGGCAATATGTGTCACTGTACTAACATAAAGTGTCTTTATACAAATCTAGGTGATACAGCTTACCGTATATCTAGGCTATATGATATAACTCATTGCTCCTGCAATACCAATCTGTACAGCGAGTTACTATAATGAGTACTGTAAGTGACTGCAACATAATGATAAGTATGTGTGTATCTAAACATATCTAAACATAGAAGAGGTGTAGTAAATATATGATATAAAAGATAAAGAATGGTACATCTGTGTTGTCCACTTAACATGAATGGAGTTTACAGTACTGGAAGTTCCCCTGAGTGAGTCACTGAATGAGAGAAGAGTGAACACATAGGCCTAGGACATTGTTGCACACTACAGTAAACTTTATAAGTACTGTACACTTAGGCTACATTACATTTATAAGAATATTTTTCTTTCTTCAATGTTAAAATAAATCTAACTTACATTTTTACTTTATAACGTTTTTATTTTTTAAACTGTTTTAAGTAATATTTTTACTTTATAAACTTTTAAATTTTTTAAATTTTTGACTCTTCTGTAATAGCAGTTGGCTTAAAACACACATTGTAAAGCAGTACAAAAACATTTTCTTTCTTTATATCATTATAAACTTTTTTCTATTAAAAACTTTTTAAAATTTTTCAGCATTTTTTTTGGAAACTAAGGTATGAAAACACACATTAATCTATGCCTACACAATATCAGGATTATCAATATCACTGTCTGCCACCTCCACATCTTGTCCCACTGGAAGGTCTTTAGGGTCAATAGCAAACATAGAGCTGTCATTTCCTATAATAACAATACCTTATTCAAAATACTATCTGAAGGATCTGTCTGAGACTGTTTTACAGTTAACTTTTAAAAAATAAGTAGGAATACATTTAAAAATAATGATAGAGAGGGAGGCAGAACAAGATGGCTGAATGGAAGCCTCCAGTGATTATACTCCCTGAAGTAACACCAAACTGAACAACTCTCCACACAAAAAAGTACCTTCAAGTGAACTAAAAATCAGGCGGGTGATCACAGTACAAAGTTTTAAATGATATTAAGGGAAGATGCACTGAAGAGGGTAAAAACAACAGTTGTGAATTGCCTACACCACTCCTTCTCCATCCCTCAACAATAGCCACATAGCCACATAGTACAGGGAGAAAATCTGTGTTCTTGGGAGAATGAAGAGTGCAGTGATGGTGGGACTTTGCATTGGAACTCAGTGCTGCTGTGTCGCAGTGGAAGGCAACACGGAGCAGAACTAAGCTTGTGCTCATGGAGTAAGCATGTAGGTCATTCCTAGCTAGAGGCAAATTGTCCATCCCGCTGGCAGGAATCTGAGTTTCAACGAGAATTGCCGCCATGTGCTAAAGTCCTCTGGGGTTCTAAATAAACTTGAAGGGCACTCTAGGCCACAAGGACTGCAATTCCTGGGCAAGATTTGGTGTTGTGCTGGGCTCAGAACTAGCAGACTTGGAGTGCATGTAACCTAGTGAGACATGAGGCTGGGAAGCCTAGGAAGTGTTAGCATCACCCCTCCCCCAACTTCAGGCAGCACAGTTCACAGCTCTGGGATAGACTCCTTCCTTCTACTTGAGAAGAGGAGAAGAGAAAGTAAAGAGGACTTTGTCTTGCAAATTGGATACCAGCTCAGCCACAGGAAAACAGGGTAACAGGTAGAGTCCTGAGGTCTCCCATTACAGGTCCTAGCTGTGGACAACATATCTAGACATATCCTGGGCTAGAAAGGAACCTGCTCTCTTGAAAGGAAAAACCTAGTCCTGGGAGGACCTATTACCTACTAACCAAAGAGTTCTTTGGCCCTGAATAATCAGCAGTGGTAGTGAGGCAGTACTTGCCAGGGGCCTTGTGTGAAACTCAGAGCCCTGCTATCTTCAGATGTTACCCAGGACATTCTTAGCTGTGGTAGCTAAAGGAATAGACTCCTTCTACTTGAGCAAAGGAGAGGGAAGAGTAAAGGAGACTTTGTCTTGCAGCTTGAATACTGGCTCAGCCACAATGAAGTAGAGTACCAGTTGGGCTTTTGGGGCCTCTGATTCCAGGCCTTGGCTTCTGGGAGGTATTTCTGGACCTGCCCTGGGCCAGAGAGGTGCCCAATGCCTGGGAAGAAGAGACCTTGGTTTTGTAGCATTCACCACAAGCTGACTGAAGAGCCATTGAGCCTTGAGTGAACACTGTCAGTAGGCAGGCAGTACTTACTGTGGGCTTGAGGTGGTATTGGCTATAGAAAGATAATCCACTGTTTGAAGAAAGGGGAGGAAAGAGTGGGAAGGACATTGTCTTGTAGATTGGGTGCCAGCCCAGCTGCAATAAAATAGAGCACCAGGTAGCTTCCTAAATTTCCAGGCTGCAGGCCCCGGCTCCCAGGTGGCATCTCTGGACCTGCCCAGGGCTTGAGGGAACTGGCTACCCAGAAGGGAAGGAGGCAAACTTGGCTGGCATTGCCACCTACTGATTGTAGAGTCCTTAGACCTTGAGTGAACAAAGGTGGTAGCCAGGCGATGGTCACTGGGAACCTTGGGCAAGCCCCAGCACTGTGCTGGTTTCAGGTCTGATCCGGTGCAATACTAGTCGTGGTGGCCACAGGGGTGCTTGTATCATCATTCCTGCAGCTAAAGGAAGCTCAGCACAGGGAAAGATATTCTGGTTTTTTGGGGAAATGTAAGGGAAGAGCAAACGAGCCTCTGCCTGGTAACCTAGGGAGTTCTCCTGTACCATATCCAAGGTAACTAATGGGGCACCTCTATAAGAGGTCTGCAAGAGCCACAAGATTACTAGGCTTGGGGTATCCCCTAATGCTGATAGGGTGTTAGTGACTGAAGACTTAGGTCATAACATCCAAGGCCTTTCAAATACTTGGGAAGCTTTCTCAAGAAGTATGGGTATACGCAAGCTCAGACTATGAAGACTACAATAAATATCTAACTCTTCATTGCCAAGACACCCACGAACATCCGTGAGCATTGAGATTATCCAGAAAGACATGACCTCACCCAATGAAACAAAGAAGGCATCAGTGACCAATCCCAGAAACACAAATATGTGTAACTTTTCAGGTAGATAATTCAAATTAGGTGTTCTGAAGAAGCTCAATGAAATTTAAGATAACACAGAAGAGGAATTCAGCTCTGTGAATTCCTCTGTAAAATTTACCAGATAAATTTTACAAAGAGATTGAAATAATTAAAAAGAATAAAGCAGAAATTCTGAAGTAGAAAAATGCAATTGACATATTGAAGAATGCATAACAGGTTCTTAACAGCAAAATTGACCAAGAAGAAGACAAAAATCGTGAGCTTAAAGACAAGACTATTTGAAAATACACAGTTGGAGGAAAAAAAAAGAAAAAAAGCATAGAAAAGAATGAAGCATTCCTGCAAAATATAGAAAATAGGCTCAAAAGGGTAAATCTAAGAGTTTTTGGCCTTAAAGAGGCGGTAGAAAGGCAGTAGAAATTTTGTTCAAAAAGATAGTAATATTCAAAAAGATAGTAATAGTAATTTTATTCAAAAAGATAGTAATAGAGAATTTTCTAAACCTAGAGAACAATATCAATGTTAAAGTACAACAAGTTTATAGAATTCCAAGCAGATTTAACCCAAATAAGACTAACTCAATAATAATCAAACTTCCAGAGGACAAAGATAAAGTAAGGCCTTAAAAACAGAAAAAGAAGAGAAACAAATAATATGCAAAGACATGGCAGACTTTTCAGTGGAAATGTTACAGGCCAGGAGAGAGTAGCATGACATATTTGAAGTCCTGAAGGAAAAAAATAATAAAAAATAAAAACTTCTATTCTAGATTACTGTATCCAGCAAACTATCCTTCAAACACGAGGAAGAAATACTCTCCCAGAAAAACAAATTTGAGGGACTTCAACAACACCAGACTTGTCCTACAAGAAATGAAGTGACATTAAATTTGCCACTAAGCTTTTGGGCTATAACTGTTAATATTTTATAAATAATATCTCCTAAATGTCTAAACTTATATAAGTTAACTTAGTAACAATGGTTTAGCAAAACCAACTTTCTGAAGATTTTACAGTTTGGGATCCAATTTCTGACTAAGACAGTATTTGTGGAACATAGATCCCTATATATAAAACTTTAAGGAATTTTATTAATAGCCTAGTGTAGCTTTATTCTTAGAGGCTAAGTGATAATTCAAATTCATAAATAGGTTACCCTGCCTAGACAAGATTGCTGGATAAAATATAGGACACAATTTTAGATAAACAACATATATTATTTTTAACATAAGTATGTTCCAAATATTGAATAGAAAGTAATTTTAAAAAATTTATTGTGTTTCTATAATTCAAATTTAACTGAGTGTTCTGTAATTTTATTTGCTCAATTGCTCAATCTGATCACCTTATTCCTAGGTCCTAGAATTTTTGTTATAATTTATGTTATACCTTTAAAATGCAGGTGTAAATATTTAGTATATACCTAACTACAGTCCTTTTCTAATAATATTAATTTTACTATACAATCCACTGTTTGTATCACTCATATATGCCTTTCGAAGAGAAGTTCAGGTATCCTATGAGGAATCATCTGGAGGAGGAGAAGCCATTGTTAAAAATTGTGCCTCACACTGTTTGAACTCTGAGATTGAATCTCAGAAGACTGAATCCAGCAATCTACATTTCACCAAAGATAATTTTTATGGACAAATAATATTGAGAATTGTTATATTAAAGAGATGCAGCAGAGCCATTGAAATACAATATCAAAAATGTTATGGATAGTTACAACCTCAGGCCTAAGAGATGATACCTCTCACTAAGATGAGGAGAGACAAAGCCAATGTGATAGGTGGCTAGGTTGTCTGTAATTCCATTTGCAACTTCAACTTGAGCTCTTCAAAGCAGGTTTCTCTGCACTGATATTTGGAAGACGACTTCCAGCAGCTCCAGCTGTGACTGCAAATGGAGCCTTGGTCAGCTGCTTATGTTGGACAGCCGTTATGTTCCTAATCAATGCTATGAGTCATGAAATTATTTCAACCACTAAAAAGTAAGCCAGCTTTCCTGCCAGTAATGCTTCCAACATCCTGCAATTATTTAAGAGAATTCATCAGTCTTTCAAGTGACATTGAGTCTTCTTGCTGAGAGCTAAATTGCTGGCTAGGATAGAATCGGAAAGCAATACTTCAGCACTCTTGATTGCTCACCTGGTAAAATTTATTTGATGCAATTTTTATTATGATCACAGCCTGAAAAACAATTTCTTAAATGCTTATGATGTAGGTGGCTCAAATTATAATAATAGAATTGAGATTAGGTAAGGACTCATCTCCAAGAAAACCTCACTCATAAATGTGAGTAGTTGTGAGCATATTCTAGGCTAGCATTTCTGAATTTAAATTCACTATGGGCCAGAATTCTGTATATTTCTTAGTGGCGACCCCACAAGTGAAAACTGTCAGCATGGGAAAAAATAGAGATTAGAGAAAATTTTAGTAGTAACCACAATCGAAGGAACAGATATCTGTTAAGTATTAAGCTATAAAACTTTGTTCTCCCATCTGCAAAACTGCCATTGTAAAACTCTTCTAGAGAGCAGAGTTTTGCTTTTCATATCAGTTTTTATTTCTTGCTTAAGGCATGTCTTCTTTCAAAAAAATTTTTTTGAGACAAGGTCTTGTTCTTTAACCCAGGCCAGAATGCAGTGGCAAAATCACAACTCATGGGGCAGCCTCGACCTCCTGAGTTCAAGTGACCCCCCCACATCAGCCTCCCAAGTATGGGACTATAGGTGCATGCCACCATGCCCAGCTAATTTCTCTTTTCTATTATACCGTAGAGACAGGGTCACACTATGTTGCCCATGCTGGTCTCAAACTCCTTGGCTCAAGCAATCCTCCTGCCTTGGCCTCCCAAAGTGTTGAGATTATAGGTGCGAGCCACTGTATTTGGCCCCTTCTTTAAATTTTGCACTTGTTTACTTCAGATCTCTGATCTATGAAATTCAGTTAAGCATATTGACATGTAATCTGGATAATGTTTCTTCAGTGCTCTGAGATTTTCTATCTTTGCCTCAAAATAAATAAGAATATTGTCTGCTTCCCCAGCTAACACAAGCATAAGATGAAGAGTAATATAATTTTAAATCAATCTGTGGACATGTTAAGCACTTAATCTGTGCCGGTGAAGCAAATAGTAGAAGGGACATTACTTAGGATGCCTTTGCCAACAACTAGCAAAATATTAGCTTAAAGAATATGAAAATTAATTTTTTCTCCCGAGATTTGAAAGCAAGGTAGTTTTAGAATTGACGTAGTGACGTCATCAAGTCATTAAGGATTCAGACTCTTCTTCTTTATGAGGTAGCATCCTCTGTCTGCTTGCCTTTCTTCTCAGACTTGTATCTTTGTATTTACAAGAAGACTGATGCAACTAGTACAGCTTATAGTCACATAGTCACATCCACAGGCACACACCAAAAAATGGGATAGTTTTTCTTTGCTTATCTCTTTCTCTGAAGGATGAAAACCTTTCCTCAGATCTTCCAAAGCCCTTTCTCTCAGGTTCTGTTATCCATAATGACTATGTCCTAGCTACAGTGAAGGCTGGGGATGTGTTAGATATTTTGTCCTCTATATTGAGGGGCAAGACCTTGCCAGTCATAAATAAAGGTTTTATGAAAGGTGGAATTCGGAAGACTATTTGGTAGACAACCAACATATAACTTCCATAAAGTGGAAGACTTTCTTTTAATTTCAAAATCTTCCAAGTTGATCACAGTCATCAGACTAATGATTTAATTATACTTTTAGTATATTGACTTACATTTGCAAATTACTTTAGATATGTTATTTCATTCAGTTGTGACACTAATCATGTGAAGTATATGCCATTGCTATCTCCTGCAAATAAGAAAATTGAGTCGCAAAATGAAAAAAGATTAATGAAAATTATAATTTAAGCTTTTATATATGTCATAGTATAAAAGGTCTCAGTGCTTAGTGACAGGAGACAATAATAATGCTTTTGGAGTCAATAAATCTGTGTCAGAATGATAGAAGGCAGTTCCTCCAAGGTCTAATCCCTACTATAAAACAGACGCTATTGCAAATGGAAAAAAAAAAGTAGCAGAAGAGAACCGTTGGAGATCAATTAAATGCTAAATTTTGTGGTACTTACTATTAGTAAGTGTAGTGAGTTGAACTGTGCTCCCCAGAAAGATATGCCTATTTCCTAACTCCTGTGAACACGAGCTTATTTGGAAAAATTAGCCTTTGAAGGTGTCAAACCAAGGACAGGGTTCCATATAAGAGAAAGGCAAAAGGGGAATTTGACTCAGAAAGATTCAATGGAGAAAGCCATGTGAAGTCAAAAGGAGAGGTAATTAGCGTTATGCTGTCACAAACCAAGGAATGCCTGAAGCCACCAGAAACTGGTAGAGGCAAGGAAGGACTTTTTTATTCCTCCCTCAGAGAATTTACTGTCTTTGTAGGTGCTGGCCTAATCTAATGTAATTTTATTTATACCTTAAGAATTAATCAAAGGAAGTACATAATTATGGTGCAGAAAAAATCCCATTATGAATTCCTTTATGTAGATTTAGGTAGAGCCTTGAGTTTTGATAAAGCTTGTTTCTCAGCCTAATGATATAACTTCAGTAAGCCACAGATCTGGGTTTCTCTGCTTCTCCAGGAAAATGGCATACTAGAGTTTTTTTTATTTTTTATTTTTTGAGACGGAGTCTCGCTCTATGGCCAAGCTGGAGTGCAGTGGCACGGTCTCGGCTCACTGCAACCTCCGTCTCCCAGATTCAAGCAATTTTCCTGCCTCAGCCTCCTGAGTAGCGGGGACTACCGGTATGTGCCACCACACACAGCTAATTTTTTCTGTATTTCTAGTAGAGACGGGGTTTCACCATGTTGGCTAGGATGGTCACGATCTCTTGACTTCGTGATCCACCCACCTCGGCCTCCCAAAGTGCTGGGATTACAGGCGTGAGCCACCACGCGTAGCCATGGCATACTAGAATTTTAGGTGGACTGCATTGAACAGGGAACTCAGGGTATGTCTTCATGATACCTAGGGAATCACTAGGAAGTTGTGTCAACTTTTTAGTTCTTCTGGTCTGTTCTATCCTTTGTACTGTGTGGTTATAGGTTCAGATGTAAATTAAAGTGAAAGCAATTTGAAGTAGGTTCAAATCAATACTCATTTTAATCTATAAATTTTGAAACTTGTTGTCTAATCTAGCCTATCATTCATTTGTTGGGGAAGATACATACATGAACAATACACAAAAATAAATATATATTAATATAGGATCAAATCTCTAAAAGACACTTGCAGTCCATATGTTAGCACAGATGTCACCTCCTCAACATGATAGGTTTGAATAGTCACAATACCCTCAGCCTTATATAACTATCACATTATTCTGGTTGGTTTTCTTAGTAGCTTTAACTGTCTAAATGTATCATTATATATTTTATGTTTAAATTTAACTATCCTGTTAGAATTCCCGGGTCACAATAATGCAGAATTCTTGTCTCATAAAACTTACATAACACACTACTGTTTTCCTGTGTCTAAAACAAATAATCTATTGGTATAAATGTGTTGAATGAATGGATAAGTGAATTAATGAATGAAACAAATATTATAATAAGAAATACCTGTGTAACGATGTTAGCTCTCTTATTACTTAACACCATGCCCTATACCTAATAAGCTCTTTAAATATTTGTTGAACTATTTTATTTTATTTTTGAAATTGATAAATCTATTACCTCAAATGCTCATCTTTTTTTGTGGTGGGAACATTTCAAATCTTATAACCAGTTATTTTTCAAAATACAATACACTTTTTAAACTTTTTTTTTATTTTTAATGACCAGGCAACTGACAATAAAACAATAAATTATTGACCAAAGTCACCCTACTGTGTTGTCAAGCAGTAGTAGTTATTCTTTCTATCTAACTGTATGTTAATACTTATTAATCAACCTCTCTTCATCACCATCTTCCCCGACACACCTCTTTCCCAGGCTCTGGTAACAATCATTCCACTCGCCACCTCCATGAGATCAAGTTTTCTAACTCCTATGTATGAGGGAGAACATGTGATATTGTCTTTCAGTACCTGGCTTATTTCACTTAACATAATGACCTCTAGTTCCATCCATGTTGCTGCAAATAACAGGATTTCATTCATTTTTTATGGCTGGATAGCATTTTATTGTAAATATATAACACTTTTTTTTATCCATTCATATGTTAATGGACACTTAGGTTTATTCCATATCTTGGCTACAGTGAATAGTGCTGCAATAAACATGAGGGTACAGGTCTCTTTTTGATATAGTAATTTCCTTTTCATTGGATAAACTCCCAGTAGGGAAATTGCTGGATTGTATGGTAGTTCTATTTTGAGTTTTTTGAGAAACCTCTGCATTGTTTTCCATAAAGGCTGTACTAATTTTCATTCCCGCCACCAGTATATGAGTCCCTTTTCTCTGCATCCTCACTAACATTTTGCTATTCTTGTCTTTTTGATAATAGTCATTTTAACGGGGATGAGATGAAATCTGATAGTAGTTTTGATTTGCAATTCCTTGATGATTAATGATATTGAGTATTCTTAAATATACCTGCTGGCCATTTGTATGTTTTCTGAGAAATGTTTGTTTAGATTTTTTGCCCACTTTTTAGTGGTATTCTTTGTTCTTTGTTTTGCCTTTTGTTTTTGCTGTTATATTCTGCATATTGTTCTTTTTATATTCTGAATATTGTTTCCTTGTTAGATAGTTTGTAAATATTTTTCCCTAGTCAATAGTTTGTCTATTCACTCTGTTGATTGTTTCCTTTACTGTGCAGAAGCTTTTAGTTTAATATAGTCCCACCTGTCTATTTTTGTTTTTGTTGCCTGTGCTTTTGAAGTCTTAGCCATGAAATCTTTTCCTAGATCAATGTCCTGAAACATTTTCCCTATGTTTTCTTCTAGTAGTTTTATAATGTTGGGTCTTACATTTAAGTCTGTAATCGATTTTGAGTTAATTTTTCTATATGGTGAGAGATTGGTCCGGTTTTATTCTTCTGCATGTGGATATTCAACATTTAAAATGTACTCTCTCAGCAATTTTCAATTATACAATGCATTGTTATTATTAACTATAGTCACCATACATACATAATGGAATTCTATTCACTATTCAGCCTTTAGAAAAGAAGGAAAATTTGTCATTTGCAACAATATGATAAATGAAATAAGCAAGGCACAGATAGACACATACTGAATGATATCACTTACATGTGGAATCTAAGAAAGTTGAACTCATAAAAGTGGAGTCCACAATAGTAGTTTCCAGGAGTTGGAGGTGGGGGGAATGGAGACTTTTTAAGTAAGTGGAAAACTGATTAAAGGAATGCAAACTATAATATATTAAAACACAAAGAAATATGGTATATTTTAATGAATTCAAAAAATGGCATAGGAGTAAGAAAGGGAATATACATTTTTTCTGATGCTTCAAAGAAGAGAATACCTAAAAACTGGATTTATTTGCAGTATAACCAGAGCTAATTTAGTGAAAATAGATCTTTGTTTCTTCATAAAATAAATTAGGTGTGCTAATCTTTAGGCCATTGTTAACCCCAATTAATTATAAAAAGGAAATGTCAATGTCACCTTTTAATTTATCCTGTGGGGTGTATTTACACTAACATTAGAAAAATATAGTGCCCTGGACATTTATGTAAGTTCCCTTTGAAAAAATTATTACAGTGAACAAAACACACAAAAGCAGCATCAGGAGGAAGTGGGAAAATGCTCATGTAGAACTCCACAGCTGACTCTGAGCATATTGAGGGCCAGTGCTACATCTCTTGGCTGGCAGTTGAATAGTTTGTGAAGTTTTTATGTAATTGAGAAATAAAAAAAAATGTTTAATCTGAGGAATGAAAGTCCCTTAAATTATCAGGCCCAGAGAGACATTAAAAATGCAAAGGTAGTCACGTCTCACTCCCTCTTGAACAAAGTAATTGCCTCTTGAAGCCACTTAGATTGCAGTATCTTCAACTGCTTCCATTCATGTCCCAGTATGTTTTTAGCTATAATTTCTGCTTAATCACTGGTTCCAGGTTGGCTTAGAAGCCCAATATGACACAGTTTATTTTCCGGTCCAACAATATTTGATATCTTAATTTGGATTTTATTGACTTTTTAAAATTTTTTATTTTTTTGGTGACAGGGTCTCACTCTGTTGCCCATGCTGGAGTGCAGTGGCATGATCACAGCTCACTACATCCTCCACCTGCTGGGCTCAAGTGATCTACTCGCCTCAGCCTCCCAAAGTGCTGGGATTACAGGAATGATATATTGACTTATTATTAATTATATGCATCTAATTGATAATATATATAATATATGTATGCATTTTTAGCAGTAAGCTGAACTTTTTTCATAGGAACCTTAAGTGGAACCCAAATATACTACTTATTTGGGATCTGGAGGCCAGACTGTCTGACCATTTGCCTCTTAAGGTAGTCCCAGAGGTAACTCAGTGGAGCTCAGAATACCTCAGAAAGTGCAGATTATAAATAATACTCCCATTAATACTCCTGGCATAATGTTAACTGATCAGGGTTTACACTACATTTAATAGCCTACTACTGACACCATCCCTGCCACTGGCAGTTAGTGTTTGAATCACATCCTCTAGAGCAGGAGTCAGCAAACCTATCCTATAAATGGTCAGGCAGAAGACATTTTAGGTATTTCACACCAACAGTCTCTGTCACAACTACTTGATTTACTGTTGTAGCACAAAAGCAGTATAAAAGCAGGCACCAGGCCATGTTTGGACCAAGAGTCCTGCTCTAGGGGCATTGTTCTTCTAAAGGTGTCATGTGAAGAGAAGGTCGAAGCAGAACATTTAGTCTGTGCATTCAGTGATTTAAAGCCCAACAGCAGAAACATGGCTGAGAAAGGTGTGTCTTAGAGTCACCTTAGAAGTTCCGTGTACGTATGTTTTAACTAGGCTTTAACTTAGCTACAGATGTCTACCCTTTACAGGTGATTGAACTCAACTTGAATGGTCAGATCACTTAAGGGCTTCAAAAGTACAGAAAAAGCTCTTAGCGACTTGAACTAATGATATAAAACCACTCCTACCTTACTATAACAAATTCTGACTTTTAATACTATCAAGGAACATTTGTGCCTTATGAGATGCCTGGGTATTTCAATTTGTACTTTAATTACCCATGCTCTCAAAACACATTTCACTAATTATTTAAAAAAAATGCGCATTTTCAAAAAACCCTCAGAATCACTATCTCATATGATCCAATTGAAAAATAATACCACATGTTCTCCTAAGTAATTTATTCATATTCACATATGATGACTGGAACTCGAGAGCAGGCCTTTTGAAACCACTTTCATCTATATTCCACCTTGCCACACTGACTTTCAAACATGTGCACGATGAAAAACCTTTTCATGTGTATTGACATCATAGTTTTTTTTTTTTGCAGACCATAAATAATAATTATATAAATTCAAACAATTAATTTGGCTGCTCAACAATAATGCACTTCTCTGAGAATTGGTGAAGTACTGGAATTGTCTTGCATGCACTCAGAGAGCTGATTGTTACATTTTCAGAAATGTTTGAATTTATTGTTAAAAATAGTGATTATAAAAAATAAATTATATGAAATTTCTTAGTTATGTCAAAAACAAAGGTAGTAAATACTCAAATCTCATCACGTTCCAATTAGTTTTCTACATTTTACTATTATATATGCTTTTGAGGTTTCTATGACTGTTGTATATGTGTGGTAGAAATACTATATAATAGAATGCTACTACATACCTCCTTTCAAGTTTGTGTTCAGTGATATCATGTTGATAGCTTGAAATTGGCTGTGGTGAAACTATACTATTGAAATTGGCAAATACTTCAAACTATGATCCTTTGGTGTATGAGTGTGTGTGAGAGAGTGTTTGTATAAAGAATGTCATGTCCATGAATCTACCTAGATTGAATGCCAAGCAATGAAGTGTCCCGCAGAAAATAACAACATGGTCCAGCAGATAATGGAAACATGCACAAAGAGGTACATTTTGGGCTGAGCAGGAGATGCTAAGGTGTCTCTTTTCAACCACTTAGCTGTGTTTATCTCAGAAATTTACCTCATTGTCCCAATGATATTACTTTATGAATTAGATAAAAGGAGATAGGTAATATTTTCAAATCTATAGAGAAATTATAGATTCCAAAACACCTATCTAGTGTTTCAAAATGGATCTGTTTTAGCTTTCTATAAAACCTTTGGTTCTATTTAAAGTTCTAAAGCCCCACCTCAAGAAGTAAACACTGTCTCAGGAATGCATCACACTTTTCTAGTATGCAAGTTATGTAGAGCATTGGAGAATTTATTTTTGGTTTTATTTTATTTTTTAAAAAAATATTTTTATTTGACAAATAATAATTGTGTATATTTATGAGGTACAGTGTGTGATGTGTTGATATATGCTTACAATGTGGAAAGACTAAATCAGGGTAATTAACAAATACATCATCTCATATGCCTATTATTTTTTGTGAGGAAAACATTTAAAATCTACTCTTTTAGCAATTTTGAAATATACAACAATATTGTAGCCAGCATTGTGTGCAAATCAAAGCTTTAGGTAACTAAAGGTTTTAACCTTTTTCATAAATTGCATTATGTCCTTATGGTATATACTCCATTTTTTGTCAATAGGGAATTTCCTAACTTCCTTTGTATCTGTTTTAGCTTGAAGTTGCCTATAGTGGGAGTATTTACACCACCAAAATTGGCAAATGCTACAAACCAAGACTAGCTGGTGGATGATCATGTGTATGTGTGAGTGTGTGTATGTAAATCGTGCCATGGCCATGCATCTCCCTAGGTTGAATATCAAGCAACAAAATGTCATGTAGAAAAAAAATATATAGAAGAATAGAATAGGAGAATAAATAAAGAATAGGAGACTATATGGTAAATTAATTAGAATAATTATACTATAGTAATTATATTATAATAAAATTATAATTTTATTATATATATTATAATTATAATAATTATAATTATATAATTGTAATATTTATAATTATAAGAATTATAATATAATTAGTATAATAGAGATATTATATAATATATATTTAATTATATATAATATATAATTAAATATATAATATTTAATTAAATATATATTATAATTATATTATATTATATTATATTATATTATAATATAATATATCATATTATAATTATTATAATATAAATAAATTAATTTTTATTAATAATTAATAATTAATATAAATAATATAATATGAATATGAATTGATATAATATAATACATTATATTAAATTAATTATAATATAATATATTACATTATATTAAATTAATTTAATATAATATAATACATTATATTATAATTTATAATATTATATTATAATTATTATATTACATACTATATAATATAAGTATTATACTACATACTATATAATATAATATAGATAATTATACTAATTATAATATAATTAGTATAATAATTTTATATTTATAATATATAATTGGTATAATAATTATATATTTATAATATATAATTGGTATAATTAATTATATAATATAGTAATTAGAGTAGTATATAATACTATATAATAATTATAATATAGTAGTTATATTATAATTTTAATATACTAATATAATAATTACAATATAATTACTATATTATAATGTAATATGTGGTATAATAATTGTATTATACTTGAAATTATATTTTTATTTGAAGGAAAATTTAAAATATATTTTTATTTGAAAGAAAAAGAGGGCGTGGAGCCAAGATGGCCTAATAGAAACAGCTGCAGTCTACAGCTCCCAGTGTGAGTGACACAGAAGACAAGTGATTTCAGCATTTCCAACTGAGGTACCAGGTTCATCGTACTGGGGAGTGCTGGAGAGTGGGTGCAGGACAGTGGGTGCAGCACACTGTGCATGAGCAGAAGCAGGGCGAGGCATCACCTCACCCGGGAAGCACAAGGGGTCAGGGAATTCCCTTTCCTAGTCAAAGTAAGGGGTAGCAGACGACACCTGGAAAATTGGGTCACTCCCACCCTAATTCTGCACTTTTCCAACGGGCTTAACAAATGGCACACCAAGCGATTATATCCTGCACCTGGCTAGCTCGGAGGGTCTTACGCCCATGGAGCCTCGCTCATTGCTAGCACAGCAGTCTGAAATCAAACTGCAAGGCGGTAGCGAGGCTAGGGGAAGGGCTGCCACCATTGCCCAGGCTTGAGTAGGTGAACAAAGATGCAGGAAAGCTCGAACTGGGTGGAGCCAACCACAGCTCACGGAGGCCTGCCTGCCTCTGTAGGCTCCACCTCCGGGGGCAGGGCACAGACAAACAAAAGGCAGCAGTGACCTCTGCAGGCTTAAATGTCCCTGTCTGACAGCTTTGAAGAGAGTAGTGGTCCTCCCAGCATGCAGCTTAAGATCTAAGAACGGGCAGGCTGCCTCCTCAAGTGGGTCCCTGAACCCTGAGTAGCCTAACTGGGAGGCAACCCCCAGTAGGAGCAGACTGAAACCTCACACGGCCAGGTACTCCTCTGAGACAAAACTTGCAGAGGAAAGATCAGGCAGCAGCATTCGCGGTTCACCAATATCTGCTGTTCTGCAGCCACCACTGCTGATACCCAGGAAAACAGGGTCTGGAGTGGACCTCCAGCAAACTCCAACAGACCTACAGCTGAGGGTCCTGTCTGTTAGAAGGAAAACTAACAAACAGAAAGGACATCCACACCAAAAACCCATCTGTACTTCACCATCATCAAAGACCAAAGGCAGATAAAACCACAAAGATGGGGAAAAAACAAAGCAGAAAAACCGGAAACTCTAAAAATCAGAGTGCCTCTCCTCCTCCACAGGAACGCAGCTCCTCACCAGCAACGGAACAAAGCTGGACAGAGAATGACTTTGATGAGTTGAGAGAAGAAGGCTTCAGACGATCAAAGTACTCTGAGCTACAGGAGGAAATTCGAACCAATGGCAAAGAAGTTAAAAACCTTGAAAAAAAATTAGACGAATGGCTAACTAGAATAACCAATGCAGAGAAGTCCTTAAAGGACCTGATGGAGCTGAAAACCATGGCATGAGAACTATGTGACGAATGCACAAGCCTCAGTAGCCAATGTGATCAACTGGAAGAAAGGGTATCAGCGATGGAAGATGAAATGAATGAAATGAAGCGAGAAGAGAAGTTTAGAGAAAAAAGAATAAAAAGAAACGAACAAAGCCTCCAAGAAATATGGGACTATGTGAAAAGACCAAATCTACGTCTGATTGGTGTACCTGAAAGTGATGGGGAGAATGGAACCAAGTTGGAAAACACTCTGCAGGATATTACCCAGGAGAACTTCCCCAATCTAGCAAGGCAGGCCAACATTCAAATTCAGGAAATACAGAGAATCCCACAAAGATACTCCTCGAGAAGAGCAACTCCAAGACACATACTTGTCAGATTCACCAAAGTTGAAATGAAGGAAAAAATGTTAAGGGCAGCCAGAGAGAAAGGTCGGGTTACCCACAAAGGGAAGCCCATCAAACTAACAGCTGATCTCTCGGCAGAAACTCTACAATCCAGAAGAGAGTGGGGGCCAATATTCAACATTGTTAAAGAAAAGAATTTTCAACCCAGAATTTCATATCCAGCCAAACTAAGCTTCATAACTGAAGGAGAAATAAAATACTTTACAAACAAGCAAATGCTGAGAGATTTTGTCACCACCAGGCCTGCCCTAAAAGAGCTCCTGAAGGAAGCGCTAAACATGGGAAGGAACAACTGGTACCAGCCACTGCAAAAACATGCCTAATTGTAAAGACCATCAAAGCTAGGAAGAAACTGCATCAAGTAACGAGCAAAACAACCAGCTAACATCATAATGACAGGATCAAATTCACACATAACAATATTAACCTTAAATGTACATTGGCTAAATGCTCCAATTAAAAGACACAGACTGGCAATTTGGATACAGAGTCAAGACCCATCAGTGTGCTGTATTCAGGAAACCCATATGACGTGCAGAGACACACATAGGCTCAAAATAAAGGGATGGAGGAAGATCTACCAAGCAAATGGAAAGCAAAAAAGGCATGGGTTGCAATCCTAGTCTTGGATAAAACAGACTTTAACTCAACAAAGATCAAAAGAGACAAACAAGGCCATTACATAATGGCAAAGGGATCAATTCAGCAAGAAGAGCTAACTATCCTAAATATATATGCACCCAATACAGGAGCACCCAGATTCATAAAGCCAGTCCTTACTGACCTACAAAGAGACTTAGACTCCCACACAATAATCATGGGAGACTTTAACACCCCACTGTCAACATTAGACAGATCAACGAGACAGAAAGTTAACAAAGATACCCAGGAATTGAACTCAGCTCTGCACCAAACAGACCTCATAGACATCTACAGAACTCTCCACCCCAAATCAACAGAATATACAATCTTTTCAGCACCACACCGCACCTATTCCAAAATTCACCACATAGTTGGAAGTAAAGCACTCCTCAGCAAATATAAAAGAACAGAAATTGTAACACACTGTCTCTCAGACGACAGTGCAATCAAACTAGAACTCAGGATTAAGAAACTCACTCAAAACCTCTCAACTACATGGAAACTGAACAACCTGCTCCTGAATGACTACTGGGTACATAACAAAATGAAGGCAGAAATAAAGATGTTCTTTGAAACCAATGAGAACAAAGACACAACATACCAGAATCTCTGGGACACATTCAAAGCAGTGTGTAGAGGGAAATTTATAGCACCAAACGCCCACAAGAGAAAGCAGGAAAGATCTAAAATTGTCACCCTAACATCACAATTAAAAGAACTAGAGAAGCAAGGGCAAACACATTCAAAAGCTAGCAGAAGGCAAGAAATAACTAAGAACAGAGCAGAACTGAAGGAAATAGAGACACAAAAAAGCCCTTCAAAAAAATCAATGAATCCAGGAGATGGTTTTTTGAAAAGATCAACAAAATTGATAGACCACTAGCAAGACTAATAAAGAAGAAAAGAGAGAAGAATCAAATAGATGCAATAAAAAATGATAAAGGGGATATCATCACCAATCCCACAGAAATACAAACTACCATCAGAGAATACTATAAACACCTCTAGGCAAATAAACTAGAAAATCTAGAAGAAATGGATAAATTCCTCGACACATACACCCTCCCAAGACTAAACCAGGAAGAAGCCATAGGTAGAAAGCTGAAACTGGATCCCTTCCTTACACATTATACAAAAATTAATTCAAGATGGATTAAAGACTTACATGTTAGACCTAAAACCATAAGAACTCTAGAAGAAAACCTAGGCGATACCATTCAGGACGTAGGCATGGGCAAGGACTTCATGACTAAAACACCAAAAGCGATGGGAACAAAAACCAAAATAGACAAATGGAATATAATTAAACTAAAGAGCTTCTGCACAGCAAAAGAAACTGCCATCAGAGTGAACAGGGAACCAACAGAATGGGAGAAAAAAATTGCAATCTACTCATCTGACAAAGGGCTAATATCCAGAATCTACAAAGAACTCAAACACATTTACAAGAAAAAATCAAACAACCCCTTCAAAAAGTGGGAAAAAGATATGAACAGACACTTTTCAAAAGAAGACATTTATGCAGCCAACAGACACATGAAAAAATGCTCATCATCACTGGCCATCAGAGAAATGCAAATCAAAACCACAATGAGATACCATCTCACACCAGTTAGAATGGCGATCATTAAAAAGTCAGGAAACAACAGGTGCTGGAGAGGATGTGGAGAAACAGGAACGCTTTTACACTGTTGGTGGGAGTGTAAACTAGTTCAACCATTGTGGAAGACAGTGTGGCGATTCCTCAAGGATCTAGAACTAGAAATACCATTTGATCCAGTGATCCCACTACTGGGTATATACCCAAACGATTATAAATCATGCTACTATAAAGATACATGCACACGTATGTTTATAGCGACACTATTCACAATAGCAAAGACTTGGAGCCAACCCAAATGTCCAGCTACGATAGTCTGTATTAAGAAAATGTGGCACATATACACTGTGGAATACTATGCTATGCAGCCATGAAAAAGGATGAGTTCCTGTCCTTTGTAGGGACATAGATGAAGCTGGAAACCATCATTCTGTGCAAACTATCGCAAGGACAGAAAACCAACCACCACATGTTCTCGCTTATAGGTGGGAATTGAACAATGAGAACACTTGGACACAGGGCGGGGAACATCACACAATGAGGCCTGTCATGGGGTTGGGGCATGGGGGAGGGATAGCAATAAGAGAAATACCTAATGTAAATGATGAATTAATGGGTGCAGCAAACCAACATGGCACATGTATACATATGTAACAATGTACACATATGTTGTGCACATGTACCCTAGAACTTAAAGTGTAATAAAAAAAGTAGAGGCAAAAATTAATAATAATAATAATGATAGAGAGGGAGGCACAACAAGATGGCTGAATGGAAGTCTCCAGTGATCATAACCCCTGCAGTAACACCAAACTAAACAACTATCCACACAAAAAAGCACCTTCAAGTAAACTAAAAATCAGGTGGGTGAATACAGTACAAAGTTTTGACATGATATTAAGGGAAGATGCACTTAAGAGGGTAAAAACAACAGTTGTGAATTACCTACACCACTCATCCTCCATCCTTTGACAATAGCCACATAGTACAGGGAGAAAATCTGTGTGCTTGGGGGACTCAAAACTAGCGCACTTGGGGTGCATGCAACCTAGTGAGACATGAGGCTGGGAAGCCTAGGAAGTTTTTGCATTGCCCCTCCCCCAACCTCAGGCAGCACAGTTCACAGCTCTGGCATAGACTCCTTCCTTCTGCTTGAGAAGAGGAGAAGAGAAAGTAAAGAGGACTTCGTCTTGCAAATTGTATACCAGCTCAGCCACAGTAGAATAGGGCAACAGGTAGAGTCCTGAGGTCTCTCATTACAGGTCCTAGTTGTGGACAACATATCTAGACACACCCTGGACCAGAAAGGAACCTGCTCTCTTAAAGGGAGGAACCTAGCCCTGGCAGGACTTATTACCTACCAACTAAAGAGTTCTTTGGCCCTGAAAAATCATCAGTGGTAGTGCTTGCCAGGGGACTTGCCAGGGGCCTTGTGTGAAACTCAGAGCCCTGCTATACTCAGGTGTTACCCAGTACGTTCTCAGCTGTGGTAGCTAAAGGGACAGACTCCTTGGGCTTGAGCAAAGGAGAGGGAAGAGTAAAGGAGACTTTGTCTTGCAGCTTGAATATTGGCTCAGCCACAATGAAGTAGCAAGATCCTTGCTTTTATAATTTTCTATCTCTTTAAAGAATTGCCCTTTGTAATTGTTTTTAAGGCCATCTATTGGGAACAAATTCTCCTAGCTTTCTTTCTTCTGAGAATGTCTTGATTTCTCCTTTATTCTGGAAAGGGTTATTTTCACTGGATGTAAAATTCCAGATTGACAGTGCTTCTCTTTCAAGAACTGAAAACTGTTATGCCACTTCCTTCTCATCTTTATGATTTCTGATGAGAAGTCTTCTGACATTCAAATCATTTCTCCCGTGTAGGCAAGGTGTTATTTCTTTCTCCCTAATTTCAATTTTTTTTCTCTTTTTGGCTTGATGTGGTTTTCTTTTAAATTATCCTGTTTGAGTTCTCTTACTTTCTTGAATCTCTAAGTTTATGTATTTTGCCAAACTTGGTGATATTTTAGCTATTATTTATTTTGGCACATTTTTAACTGCATGGTCTTTCAAATGTTAGATTAGGGCATACGCTGTTCTCTATATTACATGGGTCTTCAGTAACTCTAATAATGTACAATATGTCATATATAACAAATGTTAATCATAAAGAGCCTCAGAAACAACTGGTAATCCTGAAAGAAGGAAATAGAAATTATACATATTATACTTCCACTTCACCCCACATACGTTTTTACCCTTTTCTCTTGAAATACGTTACTTTCTCTCTGGGAATAAATATACCCGTAAGTATACACATAAAATTTATTAAAATAAACTCATATAGCAAACATTATGTTTTATGATTTGCCTTTCCTATTTAGCAATAGTAGGCTTTTAACTACTTTCATAGTAAATGCCACAATTATGTTAAACTTTTTTTCTTTGTAAGTCACAAGACAGCATGACTGGTTGCATCTGAGTTAGCTCTACTGCTTATTTGCTCTGCAATCATCTTATCTCCTGCTTCAAGCCTGTCTAGGGAATTCACTTCAGATTTCTAAACCCCATTTTTTCCAGATTTCAAGCCCTGCCATTGCTCCCCATAGTTAGCAGCTGATGAACAAATTTTCTTCCCAATATGCTGAGTATGCTTTTGACATCTGCTCTGCTGCTATGTTCTTGATAGAAGACTACAATGAAGGGCAAAGTTGTTTTTCTTTTCTTTTTTTCTGTAGTCCTACAGCACTGAACATGGAATAACAACATAAGGAAGGTGTCCTTTCTCATGGTACAGAACAACTTTCATTAATATTTGCCAATAGTTCTTACCAGGGCTGCCCTGAGCTTTCTAGGCTTAAAGGTCTAGAAAAGGGGTCGGGGCGGGGGTTATATAGCAAGTATCAATGCAAACAAGGTTGTAAAATGCCAGTTTCATTTCTTTAAGAATAATTTCAGGCTCTTTATATTTGTTATTTGTTTAAAATTTGTCTTTTAATTATGATGACTTACATATTTTTAAACATTAGATTCCTTGATACTTTCTACTTCACACTACTTATTACCTTAGACCCAAGGTCACAGATCCTGGGCAAGTCATTTAGCTTCTTTGACCCATAACTTCTTTATCTTAAAAAAGAGAATAACAATAACGTCAATTTAAGAGAATACTGTAAGTTAAATACTATATATACCATTTTTAAATGAGTGAAGCTTTACACAAGTGGAAGTTCTTACTAGTGGTAAGCTAGTTCCAGTTACTTTGTACACTAAATGAAATAAACTGTATGTGATTTACAGCTTTATACAATTTAAATTCACTCCACTCTTAATTTTGAAGTAACCTTGCCATCAGAAAGAATTAATAAAATTAAATACATTTTTGGTAATACAGTTATATGAGTTTCTCTACCATTTCTTTTTATTTTACTTTATTTTATTTATATTTTTTAGAGACACAGCATCATGAAAATTACTTTATATATAAAATCAAGAGGCTATTAAGTACATCAGAACATAAGGATAGTGCTCTATGGAAACAAATGCATAATATAGCACCACAGATAATAATACTATTCTAATTACAAATGTAAGTCACTGAGTTGATTGCTACAAAATTAGTTTGGGTCTTGGGATATATATATATATATATAAAATATATATTAAATATATACATTATATATAATATATAATATATATTTTATTTATATAATGTATATAATATATATTATATATATTTTATTTATATAATATATATTATATATAGTATATATTTTATATAAAAATATATTTATATTTATATTTATATTTATATATTATATATATTATATATATATATTATATATATATAAGATATATAATATATATAATATATCAGATATATATTATATATAATATATATAAGATATATATTATATATTATATAAGATATATATTATATACTATATATAAGATATATAATATAATATATACAAGATATATATTATATTATATATCTTATATATATTTTTAATTTATTATATATTGTATATATTTTATATATTAAAATATATATAAAATATATATTTTATTATATATATTTATATTATATATATTTTATATATAATATAAATATATATTTATATATTATATATAATATATATAATATATAATACTTCAATCAAGAAGTATTATATATTATATATCTATATATTATATATAATAAATATATATTATATATAATATATATTATATATAAAGTATATATAAATATAAATATATATAAATATATAAATATATATCATATATATTATATATACATAGAATATATATATATTCTATGTATGCTTCTGTTTAAGGATGAAAAAAGTGGACAAGTTAGTCTTAGCTTGATTCTGAGAATTAAGAATAAGTTTTACTATATATATATGAGATAGTTTGCATTTTATATTGTTATACCATAAATGTAACTAGATCTATGTTTTAGAGGTCACACTTTTTTAAATTATACTTTAAGTTTTAGGGTACATGTGCACAATGTGCAGGTTTGTTACGTATGTATACATGTGCCATGTTGGTGTGCTGCACCCATTAACTCTTCATTTAACATTAGGTATATCTCCTAATGCTATCCCTCCCCCCTCCCCCACCCCACAGCAGTCCCCAGTGTGTGTGTGATGTTCCTCTTCCTGTGTCCATGTGTTCTCATTGTTCAATTCCCACCTATGAGTGAGAACATGTGGTGTTTGGTTTTTTGTCCTTGGGATAGTTTGCTGGGAATGATGGTTTCCAGCTTCATCCATGTCCCTACAAAAGACATGAACTCATCATTTTTTATGGCTGAAAATTATTCCCACACAATAATAATGGGAGACTTTAACACCCCACTGTCAGCATTAACAGATTAATGAGACAGAAAGTTAACAAGGATATCCAGGAATTGAACTCAGCTCTGCACCAAACAGACCTCATAGACATCTACAGAACTCTCCACCCCAAATCAATAGAATGTACATTCTTTTCAGCACCATACCGCACCTATTCCAAAATTGACCACATAGTTGGAAGTAAAGCACTCCTCAGCAAATGTGAAAGAACAGAAATTATATAAAACTGTCTCTCAGACAACAGTGCAATCAAACTAGAACTCAGGATTAAGAAACTCACTCAAAACCTCTCAACTACATGGAAACTGAACAACCTGCTCCTGAATGACTACTGGGTACATAACGAAATGAAGGCAGAAATAAAGATGTTCTTTGAAACCAACGAGAACAAAGACACAACATACCAGAATCTCTGGGACACATTCAAAGCAGTGTGTAGAGGGAAATTTATAGCACTAAATGCACACAACAGAAAGCAGGAAAGATCTAAAATTGACATCCTAACATCACAACTAAAAGAACTAGAGAAGCAAGAGCAAACACATTCAAAAGCCAGCAGAAGGCAAGAAATAACTAAGATCAGAGCAGAACTGAAGGAAATAGAGACACAAAAAAAAACCCTTCAAAAAATCAATGAATCCAGGAGCTGGTTTTTTGAAAAGATCAACAAAATTGATAGACCACTAGCAAGACTAATAAAGAAGAAAAGAGAGAAGAATCAAATAGACGCAGTAAAAAATGATAAAGGGGATATCACCACTGATGCCACAGAAATACAAACTACCATCAGAGAATGCTATAAACACCTCCACGCAAATAAACTAGAAAATCTAGAAGAAATGGATAAATTCCTCGGCACATACACCCTCCCAAGACTAAACCAGGAAGAAGTTGAATCTCTGAATAGACCATTTCTTTTTAATAAATATCTTTCTCAACACAAAACATCCCTATTTTCCTGAGTATATCATAGGAAAATTAAGTCAGGAACACGTCCAAAACAGCTTAGTAACTGAGGAAGAAGCAAAGTAATGGCCATACATCAAAATGGCCCTCTTTATACATTTGCTTTCGATGGTTTCTTATACAGAACTGTGGGAAGGTGTGTCTGTTTAAATCTGCAAATTCCTTGGGAGAGTACAATTTTCCTGGTACCTCAAATGCTGCTTCTCATTTAGGTGCCCCAGTCCTTAAAAAAAATGATGATTTTCCTTCCCAAAAGACATTTGTAAATATCTGGATACATTTTGAGTTTTTATTTAGGATATAGTGAGTAGAGTGTAGGGATGTTGCTAAATGTTCTGCAATGCTCTAGACAGCCCCATAATGAAGAATATTTCAGCTCAAGATGTCCATAGTGCTGAGGTTGAGAAACCCTGAACTAGTAGAATCCCTAGATTTATGGTAGATTCTGAATTAGAATTAATGGGGCCTATTCCTCCAGTGCTAGTGCCATCAACTCACTAGCTAGTGCTAGTGGGGCCTAGTGCAGTGCTAGGCCATCAACTCAAAACTGAGAGAGACAGTAAAAAGAGAGGCAGAGGATCCCTCCTCACCTTTGTTGTTCTGCTAAAGTCCTAACACAAGTGAGCCGATTAGGACTTTACCCATTTTGCCATATTGTCATCTCTCTATCATCCTGGCTGTTTCCCATAATCAATCAAGAAGTAGCATTCTTACCATCTTGCCTTCTGGGTTGAATGTAGTCATTGCTCATTTTATTTTACATATTGATTGATTGATTGATTTAGGCAAGGTCTTGCTCTGTCACCCAGGCTGGAGTACAGTGGTGCAATCATAGCTCAGTTCAGCTTTGAACTCCTGGGCTCAAGCAATCCTCCCAACTCAGCCTCCCAAAGCAACTGGGACTACAGGGGTGCACCACTATACCTAGCTAATTTATTTTATTGTATTTTTTTTTTGTAGAGATGCAGTCTTGCTATGTTGCCCAGGCTGATCTCTAACTGCTCATTTTACATGTTTGATTATTTTTTAGAAACAAATGTAAACAGGCTAGAATAACTTCAGAGTTAGGGTTAGGGAAAAGTCTTGCTAATATTAAATATTAAGTACTGACCTACCAAAGTTAGATTTCAGACACTATATTTTTCTGGTCTTTTTTAACATTCTTTCATTCCTTGCTGACTTCATAAATCTGCTTATAAAGCAGTCTTCTTTACTACAATGATGTTTATGCTCATATTCTACTACTTGCATTGTCAAATACAAATTATTTTTAAATAATCACTATTGGTGGTATATAGGATCCTCCTCCCTGCATTTCTATCAGCTTTGGAATTCTGTTATTATTTGCCATCATCTTTCTAATGAGGGATTATCTCAGGCTGTTAGTCTTTAGATTGTGAGGTTTATTTCAGTCTTGATGTGGTCATTTGACATATTTGTCATTTCCCTCAATTATGAAAAAATATTTTGATTGGCTGACTTCCTGACCACAACTGACAAACTAAGGAAATATAGCATTATAATTAAGGAAAAACTCGAAACCCAGAAATTTCTTAAAGAAAAACAAATTTAGCAGCCATTTTGACTTCTTTTTAGAAGACAGCCTCTAAGTTACACCAATCTTCACAACGACTGAAGTGTTCTGCCAGATTCACTTCCTCTACAACTAGCTACAGAGTGGATCTTGTCCATGTTTAATCATTCTTCCTGTTAAAAACTGCCTCTATTTCAGATTTTTCAGTTGGATGATTTAAAATTCAAAGCTCAACGTCAGAACCTGCAATTTACATATGCTGTTTCCATATAACAAAGAATGATTTGAGCCTCGGGTTAGATGAAAGTCATTAGGAATGGAAAACTTTTATTCTTTTGCTGAAAAAAAAAAGTATATTAACATAGCAGATATTGAACAGTGAATTAGAAAATATTATTGAAACACCTTTAAAAATAAATATTGGGCTACAATTTAACAATTTTTAAATATTACATTTTGATTTTACCACTATATTATCACCAGATAAGGAGAAACCTTTTTATTGCATGCTAAATGTGAACTTGGCAGGTTTCTTTCAAAATAAAGAGAGAGTTTTAGGATTTTTATCCCAGCTTTGTGTCAAGAGATCTCCCTGGTTCTTTGCTTACAGTTTCTAGTTTTCCCGAGCTTTATGTAACTTTTAAGATCCTTTGTCAATTCTCATCCTAAATCATTTCTTTATCGGCATCATTCAATATTGTTAACTACTTATTTTTGTAAGAGTCTTTTTCATTAGCTTCTATGTTCTGACACTCATGATTTTCCTTTTATGTTTCCATTTTCTTTCATTGTTTTAGGTTCACCCTTCTCTTCTAAGACATTAATTATACAGACATCCAAGGTTGAGTTCTAGGGCCTCTTATTTTTCCAGAGTATTCTCCTTGGGCATTCTCATTCACACCCATAACCCCAACCTGCATGATTTCCAAATATGTATTTCTAGCTTAGGACTCCCATTTGAACTCCATATCTAGGTTGATGTTTTCTCCCATATACTCAAAGGCATCTCCAACTCTGAATGTTCTAAACAGGACCTATAATTGTTTTTTCACAGCCTCACCATCTTCTCTCTTTTGCTATTTCAGTAAATGGCACACTGATTTCTCTAGTTCC
Source organism: Homo sapiens (assembly GCF_000001405.40). Taxonomy (NCBI): domain Eukaryota; kingdom Metazoa; phylum Chordata; class Mammalia; order Primates; family Hominidae; genus Homo; species Homo sapiens. Next base: position 49,109,796 of record NC_000006.12, read on the forward strand.
ACAGCCTCAAAAATAGAGTAATCAAGTGGTTTTATGCTACCCATTTTTCATATCAAACTTATAACACCTGTCTTGTCAGTATTATCTCCTAATTGTCTCTTAATCTGTTTACTCTTCCCCATCTCCATCACTACTTCCAAATTCCAAGCCATCATCATCTTTCCCATGAACCACTGAAAAAGAAGGAAGGAACTGCAGGCCTGACAATCTTTGTTGTGTGGCTTCCTCTCACCTGTTTACCTCCCTCAGTGCCATCTCTCCCTTGCAACTCGTCCACCTTCACGAAGAAAAATTTATAGTTGCTCAATGGAAGATAAAATATCTATGTATATTTTTATATACATCTTACTTGCACTAAGTTATACTTGTACAATAGTTCAAGAAACCTGGAAATCACTGTAAAATCTGATAATTTTCTTTTTTCTTCATGCTTTAGCTGTTAAAAAAATGAACACAGCAATGAAATTAAGTGACATAATTTAGTTCAATATAAAATAATAATCTATATGTAGTATATGTTGTCTATTAAATTAATAGGTAACAGCCACTTATTCCAATATTTATACTTTATTCAACATAACATAATTTTCATAGGATTAATGTTTCAATATTTTTCAGGTTTCTTTTTATAAAAACTCAATCTACGAAGGCATGCATACAAATTACGTCAAATGTGACATTTGATAAATCAACATATCTCTCCTTTCCTCCATTTCTTTATTTTCAAAATAAGAAATGTGATGATTTATGAGATCAGTTTAGCTCCTGCAATTAATTTTAGAATTAATTGCAATTTAGGATTCATCTGATATGGAGGGGAAGAAATAGGACAAAAGGGTTCTTCCTGAGCTTAGCAATTATTGAGAAAGATGGTTAATATGCATCTTTTAATGGCAGAGACATAGAACCAATTGTGATTGCAAATTTTCCAAGAAGTCTTGCAATTAAATAGCGCATTTAATTTTGTTTAAGTCAGTGCACTTTCTGAAAGTATTTGCTCTGATGACCTCATTTTATGTACCACAATACACATTATATAACATGATGTATTACATAATACATTTTATATAACACATACCACTAGTTGGGAAATGACAGCTTTATGTTAGGATTACAGCTCTTTGCTCTTTAAATAGTTGAATTATATAAATGTCTTCACATTTTTATAAGCCTAGTTGTTTCAACAAGTCTAACCTGTGTCTGTGGGGCCAAATGAAAGCAATTTCACAGCATGGCCATCTGTTACAAATTCTTGGTATAAAAATTTTCATTAATCTAACTCAGAAGCATTTCCCTTACAGCAAATTAACAGACTGGAAATTCATGGTGAATAAATTCAGGGTCATTCTACTTCACAGAACAGCTTTCTTTCCAGGGATATTGGGGTCAGTGGGGGCAAGATTCTCTACTGTCTCTTAGTCATCTCTACCCAAACTCCTGCAATGAGATATCTGGAGGCCAAAGACTTATATCATTAGTAATGTTGCTTGCAGTTGCGAATAATACGGATCCCCAAATAGGTATAAATACAGTTTTGATCCCTAAATTTGGCTTCTGCACAGTTCAGGGATTAGTGCTGAATTAAACCACCAACCCCCAGGCCCCAGAAGAGAAAAACTATATTTTTCCTGCAATTAAATATCTGGAGGCCAAAGAATCAAATCATTAGTGCTGTTGCTTGCAGTTACAAATATTCCTGATCCCCAAATAAGTATCAAAACAATTTTGATCCCTAAATTCTGCTTCCGCACAGTTCAGAGCCTAGTACTGAATTAAAACCCTCCAGAAAAGAAAAACTATGTTTTATGTTTCATAGAGGGAATAATTCCTCAAAGTGTACTGGGTGTTTTCTTCTCTATAACTTGGATTTTAGGGTAATATAAAAAATAAAATATATAATGGTATTTTTATTTAAACTACATTTGAGTTTTGTGTAGCTGTATTTATTGACATACTTTAGTTGCAGAGTATAATTTTCAAAGTACAACATTTTAAGTCAATGCTGCCAATACATCCTAATAAATTTTATTTTCCAGAACTGTAATTGCATGTTTTGTTTCTCAAAGGAAAAAAGAACAGTGTCAGCCTTCAGAATTTTGTGGCAGCCACTAATTAATTTTCCTGTCAGTAATGTTGGCCCCTCTGGTGCCATCACTAACACAAACATAGTCACATTTCCAAAGCATTCACATCTTGTTTTTTCTTTACTTTTCATATTAGGTGATTATATTGGGGGGGAGGGGGTTATTTAATATGTATACATTAAGCTGGCTAACGCTGGCTGAAAACCTCTTGATAAGCTTATTGGAAGTAAATTTTGTAAGTAAAGGGATCTAATGCAAGGGGGGGTGGTAGCTTCGTTCATTTAGGAGAGAATATCAGAAATGATGATGAAAATATTTGATTTTTTTACAATTTAGGAAGCCAAGATCTAAAAAGTTGAAGGTATTAGATTGCAAATTTCTGTAAAAGACTATGAGATACTCAAATGTTTTGTTGTATCCCCATTTTATATCACAATGTCTAATATTTTCTAGGTGCTCAATAAGCATGTGTTGATTAGCTGAATGGATGACTGAATGAATGGCTATATATTATGTGGGAAGATTTACCACCCTTTGATATTTTTTGAAATACCTTCAAGGAAATTATAAAGAAGCAACAGAGGAATCCAGGACTGAAAATTAAAAATGGATATCATGGTCCAAACCTGATATAGTTTGACTCTGTGTCCCCACCCAAATCTCATTGTGTAGTTCCAACAATTACCATGCGCTGTGGAAAGGGCCCAGTGGGAGATGACTGAATCATGGGGGCAGGTATTTCCCGTGCTATTCCTGTGATAGTGAATGGGTCTCAGAACTGACAGCTTTAAAAATGGGAATTTCTCTGCATGAGCTCTCTCTTTGCCTGCAGCCATCCACGTAAGAGATGACTTACTCCTTCTTGCCTTCTCAAATGATTGTGAGCACTCCCCAGCCATGCAGAACTGTAAGTCCAATAAACCTCTTTCTTTTGTAAATTGTCCAGTCTTGGGTGTGTCTTTATCATTAGTGTGAAAATGGACTAATCCTGAAGTTAAAATTCTAAAGCCCAAGCGTTCAATTTAAAAACTTGAAATCACTATGGAACATCAAGAAAGGACAGTTAGGGTCAGAATCAATATTTTTGTGGATGCAAGCTTCTATCTCTTTCATCATGCCTCTTTCATTAATCGCTGCAAATAAAGAAAATCAAACTCCTTCCTATTAACCAAGATGATTTAATATCAGCATCACTCATATTGTTTCTTTTCTATATTAGCTTTATAGATTTAATAACTATAATCACATATTCTTCTCTCATTAATTTTTATCTGCCAATCTTCTAGTGAATTTCAGAACCCCAAAATCATGATTTTTAGGTTTCAGTCTCATAAACACTTCAAATATCCTTAGTGCACATATTCTCCCAGTATGTAATAATTGTATTTAATTGAATTACCAATCTAGAAACAGATTTGAAAGCTGAGGAAAACTCAGATGTGAAAGTATTTGCAAAACATAAAGAAATTCTCAAGTGACTAATATTATCATCAATGGTCAAACCTTTTTCCAAGAAAATATCATTAATAGGCAATATTTTTCCTGTAAAACATTTAAAAAGAGAAAACGGTACCCCTAATGCACCTAACATAAATTAAAAGAAGCAGTGTAAATCAAAACACAGGGACATTGCTATCGTTTACATGTCCCCTCCTAAACATATGTTGAAGTTTAATTGCCATGGTAACAAGCTAGTTCTTATGCTAGGTGTGAAACAGCCAGAGGATCCTATTGTTTCAACATTGGCCAGAGTGTCTGTCTTAGCCCGTTTTCTGCTGCTGTAAAAGAATACCTCCGACTGGGTAATAAATTAAAAAAAAAAAAACAGAAGTTTATTTGGTTCATGTTTCTAGAGACTGAGAAGTCTACGAGCAAGATGCTGGCACCTGGCAACGGTCATCCCATGGTGGAAGGCATCGCTATCTTGTGGAAACTGATAAAATCCACTTGGGAACACTTGAGGGGCAAGTAGGGTGTTCTGCCCTCAGGGACTCCACTGTCCACACTTACATCTTGCATGAGTGTAGCCTAATTGGTATGCAGCTTAATAATCATAACAAATTGTACTATTTTATTGATAAGGTAAATCAAAAAACAACAAAATGTAAGAATTTAACTGTAATAGAAAGGCTAAATCTCATGAAAGCATACAGAAAATCACTTTCAAATATAGAAAAATCATAATTAAAATTAAAGATTAAAAATTAAGTAAAGGACAAGCAAAATCTTGAAATAAACAGAAGTTGTAGAGATGAGATTAAAAGATCACGTCAGAAGAATTTGTGCTGAGCAAAACAAAACAAAACATGTTTGGAATTGAATTGATTTAAAGATAAATAAATAAGCTAGTCAACTAGATTAAGAATGGGACATATAACTACAGTTTAAAGAGGTGAGACGTGGTTTTTTACTCTTTGTTTCCCTTAGGAAGTCAATATATGAAGTAAAATTAAAAATATTATATTAAATCCAAGTGTGTCTAAATGATTTCTCTATCCAAAAACATATATTAACTGGAAAATCTTAGAGAAAGAGGTTAAATGAATAAATGAATAAAAGAATACATATATGTTCTTGCGGCCAGAGGGGTTAGGTGGAAAATCAAGTTTCTACTCAGCCACGCTAAAACCACAAGGAGTAAGATGTACTTTTACCATAAGTGTTTGTCTGGAATAGGGCAGGTGTTGTAAAAAACATTTTCTATTTTTGGCTATCCTGGTCCTGACTCTTTGGCTAGGAGAAACAAGCATTTCCTTGGAGATTTTTTTTCTATATCTCTTGGTAGTTCCCACTTAGAGGCTTTTATGATGCCCTGTCTAGGTTATGTGGGGAATTAAAACCAGAGAACTCACTTCCATGGCAATCTTTCAGTCTCAAGTTCCCCAGGCTGCCTCACTTTCCACCTTTCAGAGTCTTTCTCTGTTTTTTGCTGTGCTATGTCCAGGCTTATTTAGTCTTAAGAGGGAAAAACTGGGAGGAATTGGGCTACTCCCACGTGAAGAAACTAGATGATAGTATCAATCTTTTAAAATCTTTAAATTTTATGAAAGAACTCTTACAATGGGAAGTAGATTTGTAATATAAAATATAGAACCAAAACTTATAGGTGAAATGTATATAATAAGACAGCAAGAAGTCTTATTAAATAAGGACCATGACAAACTGAAAAATGTATACATGCCTAAGGGCATTTAGATTCCGAACTGTGAAACCACCAGGCTAGTCAAATGAAATCCAATCTGGCCTCAGAATCCTACGTTTGAATTCTAAGAGAATGTGTAGTTCTTAGGCTCACTTTCTCTTTTCTTCTCCTCCTTCAATTATACCTTGATTTTATCATCAAAGATGAACTTCCTCAACTTCCCATTTCCTTTTTGCCCCAAGAATAATCGCCAGTGGTGCTTGCAGCTGCAGCGTACACCTTGAGAAAACTCATAGATTTCAGTCCTAACCTTACCTTCAAAGTTTGCTTTTATTATTACTTTATTATTATTTTAGCATCACTCTAGTATATCCACTTTGGAAACAAAAGACATCATTCTATTTATAGCGTTCTGTTTTTAGTAATGGTATTTCCATTTACAAAATACAGTAAATCTTGATCACTGAAAACATCACGTCCCAGAAAAAGTAACATTCCTACGCATGATGTTAATTCTGCGGTGAACTTATTGCACTGAAATGGTGTGAAAAAGAAGGAGGTGACAAGCTATCGACATTCCACAAAGATACTTTGATTGAAGTGGACAACAGAAATGGAAAGAAGACTAAGAAGCCATGTGCCATTGTGGATTATAACAAGAATATGAGAGGAGTGGACTAGGCTGATCACTTATCCAACTGAGCACAAAGGCACAAGGTTCGCTATAATTCTTTCTCCCCATTCTAAACATTACAGTGCTGAATCCTGCATCCTGTTCAAGAAAGACAATCCTGAGCACACGATTAACCATGTCAACTTCAGACTGATACTGATTGAAAGACTGCTGGAAAAGCATCACAAACCATGGCAGCAGCATCTTTGAGGTCATCTGTGCTGTGATGATGTCACACCTTTTTGCCTGTCTGGAAGACAATTCCCCAAGAACATATCACCATCAGGGAAACAGAATCTAACTGGTGGCTGCCAAGTTTGCTGCTCGCACAACAAGGATGGCAAGATCTGGAGAGAAGTGCAATATTTTTTGTGCAGGATGTGATATTCTTCTTTGTGTTGTTCCATGCTTTATTATTTATTTATTTTTATTTATATATTTATTTATTATTATTATTATTTTTGAGACAGTCTTGCTCTGTCACCCAGGCTGGAGTGCAATGGCACAATCTAGGCTCACTGCAACCTTCACCTCCCAGGTTCAAGCAATTCTCCAGCCTCAGCCTCCTAAGTAGCTGAGATTACAGGCACTGGTTACCACACCAGGCTAATTTTTTTTTTTTTTGTAGTTTTAATAGAGACGTGGTTTCACCATGTTGGCCAGGCTAGAGTTGAACTCTTGACCTCAAGTGATCTGCCCACCTCAGCCTCCCAAAGTACAAAGTGCTAGGATTATAGGCGTGAACCACCCCACTCGGCTGTTTCATGTTTTAAAATTTACTACACACACATAAAAAAATTATTAAATACTGATTATCATATACATTTCTGTTACATTAAGGTTAGAGACAAGTTCTGTTTAGGAATAACTCCAAAAACAGTTTTTCTAATGTATTTTCATATTGAAAATCAGTCAGATGTGCTTCAGTCTCAAGAGCATGTTTTTGTAATATTAAATGAACGCTGGCAACAAGCTGCACTTTTTTTTCTAAACAAAAAAATGGGTGAAAGTTTGAGAAGTAGAAGGTAAATTCACGCTCTGAAGGGTTAAGTTTTTGTGCCATAATATTGGAGACTGAGATGTAGTCAGAGTCAGAACAACAGAAGAGAAAACAATGGCAAAAATATTTAATATGGGTTTTCTTTATTTTCATGCATAATATATTAATTTGGTATCTTAAATAGGAAAGCGTATTTTTATTTTTTAAGTGAACTAGAATATAGCTTCTTCCCAGATTCCTACAAACTTTTAGTAGTTTTCCACAAGAAAGAAAAAAAAGTAAACTTTTTCTTTTACTTGCAAATTTCTTGCAAATATTTTCGTAAGTAAACTACAAGCTAATGTTTGCCTTATGAGTTAAATAAATTTGTAAATTTGAATTTTGTTCTAAAATTTTAGTTCATGTAAAAAGAAAATCTTATTTCTACAGAAATATTCTCCTGGCCTGAAAATTTTCTCTTTAATCCCTTGCAAATATAATTAGTATAGTAAGTAATAATAGATCTCATGTATCTGAGTCTAAAAAGGTAAACTGGCCTAATTACTAATGCATCTAACATTTCCACCTTGATCTCTGCCCATGAAGCTGTCAAGTGTGGATTTCATCATCAGGCTCCTTTGCCTTCTTTTTTTTAGGGTCAATGAGAGGCACTGGCAAAAGTCAAAGGTCAGAAGAAGAGTAGAGTTGGGGTATTAACTTCTCCAGCATCTTCCCTGCTAAGACACAAATTGTGATTGTATTCCCTTAGCCAAAACTAGAACTCCTATTGGTGACTTTCTTATGGATTTCTTTCTTATCTTTGTCTTTTGGGGATTGAGCTCCTTCACCCAATTCCCACAGGCATGGAGGTGTTAACTCCCTCTCTTGCTATCGGGGATGCTTTTTTTTTAATCCCTTTAATTTTGTTTTTTTAACCCGACTAAAACCTTTATTAACTTTTAATTACTCCATTTGAGTGTGTCATTTGTTTTCTGAAAGACTCTTGTCTGATACAATTACATTCCTTAAATATCTTCTTTGTCAGGGCTGTTTTACACTTCACACAATGAAGACTATCTCAATTTAGCTACTAACAAACATATTATTAATAGGTTAACAAGCATTTTGTTATAATTGTTATCAATTAAACTCTAGGAAAAATTATAAAGTAAGCAGAATTGGATTGGAGTGTCATCTGTGAAGTCAGCATGAGTTTTGAAGTCAGAGAAGTCTGTGTTTTAATTACATCTTCAGCATGTATTAGCTAAAGAAAGTACAAATGGCTAAATAATGAATGATTAATGTAACCTAGATTGAAACTTGGTTTCCTAGTCTTTAAAATGGTAAGAATAATACTCACTATACTGGGTTGTCATGTTGACTTCACCTGACACAATACCAGCATATTGTGTCCAAGTAAAGCAATTACCAAGTAAAGGAATTATTTTACCCAGTAAACGAATTACCTTCCTCATCTTCCCTTTTTTATGAATAATCAGAGATTATTCCATTATTCTGTGTATCTAGGTATATTCTCCCTCCTGTCTCCCTGTTTCCTGAGCAGCCCTGCTGAATGGATGGCTTCTTGAAAATGGATAGAATTATTATTTTGCATTAGTTTAGAAAAAAAAACACACTTTTAGCATGCTCATATTTTTCCTTGGGCTTGCGTCTAATAATAAAAAGGTGTGATTCATTCTTGATTCATTCTCTACATATCTTTTATTTGTTCATCAAATGCAGGAAGGAAAATTGCTTAATTGGGCATAGGGTCTTAGTGTCTTCTATGAAATTAAAGACTAGAATAGATAGATGATCTATCAGAACCCTTAAAATTCTAAGATCCCATGAAATATTTATTTTTAAATGGTGCTAAAATCAACCATTGACATCACATAAAATGGATTTCTATTCTTTTCCCAGCCATGACTATCAGGTGATCATCTCCAGCCTGTTGGTGTACCAAAGCTCCCCAGTGAGTGTGCTTTCTAGTGTACTGTGTGTACTGTGGGTGGGTGAGTCAACCCCTGTGCTGAGATATTGACTCCATTAGCCCTTCAAAGTTTACAGGGCTGATGATGTGTGCTATAAATCTCTTCTATGTACCCCAATGTGACCTATATTATCACAGGATATTTTGTTGATGGTGATGGTGATTAGTATTAAAAATCCACCAGGAAAATTTCTATTTTCTACCTGGTGAGTTTAGTAGAATGATATTATTAGTAGTATTACCATATTGGGACCATGCCTACCATCTTATAACTGTATTTTTGTCATACTTTATGTTATTTTTTAAAATTATTTTTTTCTTTTTAAAGATCGAGTCTTGCTCTGTCACCCAAGCTAAAGTGCAGTGGCATGATCATGGCTACCTGTAGCCTCAAATTCCTGTGTTCAGATGACCCTCCCGCCTCAGCTTTCTGCATAGCTGGGACTACATGTGTGCACCACCATGCCTGAGTAATTTTGTGTTGTTTTTAGTTGAGATGGGGTCTTGCTATGCTGCCCAGGCTGTTCTCAAACTCCTGGGATCACATGATTTTCCTGCCTCAGATTCCCAAAATGTTGGGATTACAGGTATGAGCTATTGCAGCCAGCCTAAAATTTTTCATTAAAAAATTTTTTTGAATCTTTTGCACTTCCATTTGTTAGAATTCTATTTCATTTTAATGTTTGAACTTAAAATTTGCCCATGCCAATTTAACATAATTAAATCCACATCTTAACCCCATCCTTAGCATTTAACTTAGATATTGATAATCATTATTTTATGTGAACAATGTTAGTTCACCTCAAATGTTTACCAATTTTCTTTGCTCACCATTCTGCTTATGCTCCAAACCCTGATTTGGGAAAATTTCCTTTTTCTTGAAAGTATATTCTTTAGAATTTTCTTTTCTGAAAGTCAGTTTGTGGTAACCTAAGTTTGCATTTCTTTTTTTAAAAAGCCTTATTTTACATTATCTTAAAATATAATTTTGCTAAATACACACTCCTCTAATCATGTTTTTTTATATTGTAATCACATAAATATATTACTGTCTCATTTTATCTTCTTTGTCTCTGAAGCATCGATTTATAGTCACCATTTTGTTAGTTTTATTCTGAATTGTGAGAATTTCTTTAGCTCTACACTTCAGTTCATTTAAGTATCCTACAATTTATTCTGTCTACAATTGTGGCTGACCAGGTGGCAGTCATGATTTAGTTTCATTGTCTGACAACTTTTGGTATCACCAAGTAAGCAGCAGCAGAACTAACGGAATGGACGTCAGCAGATTGGAAGAGAACCCTAGGAACAAAGGTGGAGGAGCCTTTGAAAAATACCAGGTTAAAATTCTCATGAAGACACTCCAGAAATGACAGTGGAACATTTTTGATGATTCAGAAAAAAGTATGAAAACCGATGGCTCTAAGTTGATAAGTGATTCAGAAGGATTGAATTATAAATAAGAACAAGGCTAGGATTTTGTAAACCAATTTATTTCATCTATATTTTCCTTCTTAGGTAAGCACGCTAGTGATAGGTGACAAAAACTTATGTCTAAATACTTATAAAAAGTCTCCGTCAATGAGTATAAAAATTTTCTTTTTTCTTGCCGGGCACGGTTGCACACGCCTTTAATCCCAGCACTTTGGGAGGCTGAAGTGGGTGGATCACGAGGTCAGGAGTTCAAGACCAGCCTGGCCAAGATGGTGAAACCCCGTCTCTACTAAAAATACAAAAATTAGCAGGGCATGGTGGCGGATGCCTGTAATCCCAGTTACTCGGGACGCTGAGGCAGAAAACTGCTTGAATCCAGGAGGCAGAGGTTGCAGTAAGCCGAGATTGCACCGCTGCACTCCAGTGTGGGTGACAGAGCGAGACTCCATCTCAGAAAAACACACACACACACACGCACGCACACACTTTATTTCTTAATTATACATAACATAATGGTGCATTTACAATTAAAGGCATCTTAGACATGAAGTAATGCAGAATCACTTCTACACTGATAGAATTGCTCATGTCCTTCCAGACCAGATACCATTCTCTTGAAAATGTTGTATGCCTTCCAGTAGTTTTCTTATCTGACATCCATACACAATCTTTTAAAATATGCTAATATCATTGATTCTATTGTGGTTGAGGTATTTTTCCTGTGAGTTTGGAAGACAGAATTTGCCTTCCCATTTTTTGCTCATTCAATTGGTTGGATTCTCAGAACGTGGTTGTTCCATACAATTTTACTGATTATTGATGCAAACTGAAGTCCATTCAAAAGAAAGTTGAGTGTGCTTAATACTCAGTGTGACACACACACACACATACATATATATGCAAAAAGAGGGAAGAAGAGAAAAAGAGAGGTGGAGCTAGAGAAAGAGCGTTGAACTGGTGATGTGAGATATTGATCTCAAATCTAGACCTAGATATTAATTTCCTTAAACCTAAGAAGAAGCAACACATTTCAATTATTGAAAATTTTTGTAATAACAGAACCATGAGCTTGTTTATTCTGTATTCTCTTGTTAGCAAAAATTGCTACTTAATAACGAACACAGGTTTCCCAATCCTCACTGTCAATTAGATTTCATGATATTATCCTTCATAGCTTTATAGATAATTGGCCTAACTAAAGAAGAAATGGTCCTTATTGCTTAAATTGTTGTTTGAATGAAGGCTGAGTCTTTTGAGATCTAGATTCATTGTCCATGAGTTTAAGAATATCTGTGTATCAGGTGATTTCAGCTCCCAAAACATAAGAAAAACCTGCTTGCACATTGAACAATCAGTCACTGAGTATTTACTTGCAGCGTGATACACAAGGCACTGAGTACTAGGTATCTGAATATCAATAAGATAAAGCAGTTGCCCACAAGTATATAATGCAGACATATTTACAGTAACGGTACAATGATGTCCGTTAGTAGGTTCAGCTGCAAGTAATGGAAGTAGATTTCAAGGGCCTAAACAAACAAACAAAATAAATAAGTTCTTTTTTTCCTCACTAATCAGGAAGTAAATAGCTGGTGTTGCTGTCAAGGACCTATGTTCTTTTTATATTCTTTGAAGTACTTAGCATGTTCTTCTTATACTTCTGCCCTTACAATTATAAGATGACTGCTGCATATTTCAACTAGGACCACTTATCCACAAAGGGAAAAACATGGTAGGGAGAAAACAGGAAGGAGTTGGACCTATATCAGAAAGACTTCCTGTGTCACTGTCAACTTCTCTCTCATTTGGCAAAAACTCGGTGGCACACTCCTCTGGTTGTAAGGGCATCTGAAGGAAAGGATTATATAACTGAACATACTGCTAATGAAGACAAAACCTGGAGAATTTTTTAGAAGGAATACTGCGGACAGGAGATTGAGTAGGCAACTGGCAGAGGAAAGCAAAATAGAAAAACTGAAGTTATAAGAGAGGGATGCACCAACTGTGACTGCAAAGCCTCCGGGGACTAAATGTTTCTCAAATATCCCCTAAGGTGTTCATTGTTGTTGATGCACTACCTATGACACATTAATTTGGAATTGTATGACTGTATTACTATCCTACACATAGATAATTATAGATGACATTATTCAGATCTCATAATTTGGTAAGTTCGCATCAATTGTTCAAATGTAACTGTCTTTCCACAGATGTTTAGCTTTTAGTTTGTTCACTGGAAACAGACTTTTCTGGCACTCTCCACCATCTAACAAAAGCATGTTTAAATAAGACTAAAGAGAATTTTTGCAAATTCAAGTAGAACTGGTTTATCTCCACCTGTCTGATATATGGAACCTATAAAAAAAACCCATTCGATTATCTGGTCTGCCTGGCATCTTGCCTGTAGCTGCCATTATCTATGCCAAACATTTCCTGAACTTAACTACTCAAGCATTACATCACTAATAACAGAACAGACTCTCAAAGGAGCTGAGATGCAGATGGCCAGGTATGCTTTAACATAGACCAAAGAATTAGCTAAAAATTCTGTTTTGAAACAAAAGGATGAAAGAGAAGACAGCCATAAATCATTAAAGAGCCTCATCAAAAAGCCCCTTCATCTTTTCAAATTTGTTGCAAATGCATTTTATCCATCTGTCAGTAGGCATTATCATTTTTGTAGCATTATAGCATTTTGTAGCAATTTATTTTTAATAAATTATTCACTTGACAATTAATTTTATACCACTGCATGCCTCCAAACATGGAAAGCACAAGAAACCCTATTTTAGAGTCTGGGCCATACACATAATGAGGGTTTTGTCAACTGTTTCATAATAAATCTGACTGCCCGTAACAGTGGTTAGATCTATGCTACCTGTAAAACAAAAGCACTCAGAATATATGGTCATATTTGTAATAAATCTTATTTTCTAATTAATTTGAATACACATTTACGTATATGTCTAGAACTTTTAGCATTATGAGGTAGAAAGTATTCTATAAAATAATGCATAGACTCCTTTTGTGTTTATGTTCAAATAAAAGATTCAGAGTTATTTGTAACTGATCACTCTGCAAGAATGTATTCAGGACCTATACTATCTAAGAGATGAGTCATTGTCTGCCATTAAAATTTTGCTGTAAGACTTTTTCATTAAATTGTTTTTCAGACAGAACTGGTGATTTGCTGCATTAATTGAAATTTCTTTACAGTATCTTGACCAAATAAAAAATTATTTTTGTCTGACATACGAAATCCAAAGATTAATAGATCAGAGCTGGTTCAGTAGCTTCACAGTGTCCTCTATGCCCCAGACACCTTCTGTCTTTCCAAAACACCATTCTTAGTATAGGCCTCTCATTCTCATAAAAGTCTCATGGCCACAAGATGACGGCCCCACTATTAGCTCCTGTCTGTATTGCTTGAGGTGGGAGAACATATCTAGACGGTCCTTATGGTTTCCTTATCAGGAAAGGAAGACCAGCGCTTGAACCTTTATCTTATTTGGAAGGGAAACTAGGAATGTAGTTTTGCTTTGTGTTACTTGGTCACAAACTGTGAATAAAAGGTTCTTTTCATAAGCAAAATCAAAAGAATGAATATCGTTAAGTCAATTAGCAGAGTCTGTCACAATAATTTATAAATTTTCATTACATTAATGTTTTCCTCATCAAATAACAAAATCTCAGCAAAGTGAGTTGAATGATTGAATTGGTTTTTATTAGCAATTTATAAACCAGTCAGAATCCCATCTGTAAAATAGAAAATGTTCAATGAGCCAAGCATAGGAGGTGGGCTTTATATGTAGAAAAGGTTGAAAAAAGCAGAAACAAAAAAATAAGTGGATTTTAAGCAGAGAGGACTTTTTTTATTATGGAGAGGACTCTTTTTTCAGCTCAGCTTGACTGGGCCCCTTCTGATTATTTGCTGTGATTTTCCTGTTTTTTGTTTTTTTTAAAAATGTCTCATTTCAAAGTTCAGTTTGATTACGTGGCACCTAAAATGAGTGTATTCATTCTGGTTTGATCTGGTGTATTGGGGCCTAGTGCAGGAATGCGGTTCAAAATGATAGACTCCCATAAACTTTAATATACTACATTCTGAAATACATACACCATTTTAATTTATTTTACTTACAAAATTATTTTATTAAAAAATCAGGCCAGGCGCGGTGGCTCACGCCTGTAATCCCAGCACTTTGGGAGGCCAAGGCGGGCAGATCACGAGGTCAAGAGATCGAGACCATCCTGGCCAACATGGTGAAATCCCATCTCTACTAAACATACAAAACTTAGCTGGGTGTGGTGGCGGGCACCTGTAGTCCCAGCTACATGGGAGGCCGAGGCAGGAGAATCACTTGAACCCGGGAGGCAGAAGTTGCAGTGGGCCAAGATTGTGCCATTGCACTCCAGCCTGGCAACAGAGCAAGACTCCATCTCAAAAAAAAAAAAAAAAAAAAAAAAAAAAGATTCCGTAGTTACTGATACTTTTCTAAGAAGGAAGTGGTTTTGCATTTGGAAATGAGATTATTGAATAAATATAATCTCTTCAGGGATTCATTCTCAAGACAGTAGCAATTTTTAGTAAAAATTGTGCAAAATAATTTTCTTAATCATTCTTCTAAAAATGTAAAATGCAATCATATAACTAACAAAGTATAACAATATGTATGCAATACCAGATGTAACAAGATGCAATGCCGGAAACCCTCATATATTTATTTTTGATCATTATTTATGTTAAAATTTTTTTCTGGACCAGAGAAGTCATCTTTCTCATTAATGGGTGTTTAAAGTTTAGATAAAATGTATTTTATTTTGTATTCCATAAAACGTTGGTTGAAAAACCTCAATTTTAATCTGCCTACAGTTCAATTACAAAAGTGATGTCTATAGCTGCATTAAGCATAAGATTACTTTTTCTGACTTAATTGCTTTCTGAATTATGCTAGAAGCCACTTCCAAAATCAGACAACTGTAAGAGACAAACTTCCAGGCTTGATAAATTTTGCATAACGTGTGTGTGTGTGTGTGTGTGTGTGTGTGTGGCAGAGGAACTAATTTCCACATTAGTTGATTTCCATCATTAATATCTCTTTTACTAGAATGTCTATGAAAAGGTGATTTTGAAAGATGAAAATATATAATATTTTCAGTCTCAAGAATTATTGACTTTCTTAAGGAAAAATAAAACAGGCAAAACAGTTGTGCAGTATGCAGGAAGGGTATCTCCCAAAGCCCACTTAAGTTCCAACATTGCAGAATAATAGATCAAAAAATAAATAAATAAAAAGGAAAGAAGGTGGGATTGCACAAATCCAATGACTATAGGCGACAGTGGACAAGAATTTCTTTTATAGAGCAAAACTAGCTGGAAAACTTCATGGCTAGAGTGAGAAGTCTGGTAAGTCTGTCTAACGTGAATTTGATAATTGCTATGAGTCAGTGACTCCTCAATTTCCCATTATTCCTTCTTCTTATTTTACCCTGTTTTATCTCCCAAGTTTTAAATGGTGCATGTAATTTGCTTTTTAGCATGTGGCAAGGACTGGACCTCAACTGAGAATGTGAACTATATGCTGGATGCAATGTGAGTTTTGAAAAGATTCTTCCTTGGTAGGGAATAGGTGTGGCCTCTTTATGAAAGTAGGTTGTGTGTGGATATTGGTCTTCATATGTAAGTCAGGATGTAAACATTCCAAATAAGCACAGCCAGCTCCAGAGCCCATGTTACAGTGGAGAATCACGCAGAGACAATGTAGGTAAAGAAAAGACAGAACAGCAGTAAAATACATATAAATCAACCCCAGAAAGAGAAGGGGTAATCTGACCTGGCGGATCAGAACACTTGCTTCTTGGAAAGTGAAAACTGAGCTTTAAAGGGTGTGGGATCAGAGGGAAGATAGTGCTGCAATAGAGAGAAGGAATTTTTTTTTAAATATGGATTTTAAAGAAGTTTAGATTTACAAGGAGACTACTATCTCTTCATGGGCCACCATAATTCTACAGAAAGTGAAAATGTGCAAGTAAGAGAAACCTAAATTAGCTTGAGCAAAATAGAAGACTTATAAGAAGTAAAAGGAAAATTGAATAGCATCTCTTTATTTGAAAAATAGAAAAAAACCCTACTTTTAAAGAGATGTGTTAGGTTCTAAGAAATGAGAATTCTTGGTGTTTCAATAAATTAAAAGAAAATGGGGAAGTCAGAAGGGATAGAGAGTATTCAGCTCAGATACTGAAGGACCACGTAAAGAATTAGAAATTTTATGCAAAAGAATTGGAAAACCATTGGTGTATGATATGTTTTGGCTGTGTACCAACCTAAATCTCATCTTGAGTTGTAACTCCCACAATTCCCATGTGTCATGGGAGGGACCCAGTTGGGGGCAATTGAATAATGGGGTCAGGTCTTTCTTGTGCTGTTCTCATGATAGTGAATAAGTCTCATGAGAGCTGATGGTTTTATAAAGAGGAGTTCTCCTACACAAGCTCTCTCTCTTTGCCTGCCACCATCCATGTAAGACACAACTTGCTCCTCTTTGCCTTCTGCCATGGTCGTGAGGCCTCCCCAGCCACGTGGAGTTGTGAGTCCATTAAACCTCTTTTCATTTATGAATTACTCAGTCTCATGTATGTCTTTATCAGCAGTATGAAAATGGACTAATACAGTAAATTGGTACCGGTAGAATGGAGTGCTGCTGTAAAGATACCTGAAAATGTGGAAGCAACTTTGGAACAAGGTAACAGGCAGAGGTTGGAACAGTTTGGAGGGCTCAGAAGAAGACAGGAAAATGTGGGAAAGTTTGGAACTGCCTAGAGACTTGCTGAATGGCTTTGACCAAAATGCTGATAGTGACATAGACAATGAAATCTAGTCTAAGGTGGTCTCAGATGGAGATGAGGAAGTTTTGGGAACTGGAGTATTCTTGTTATTCTTTAACAAAGAAACTGGTGGCATTTTGCTTCTGTCCTAGAGATTTGTGGAACTTTGAACTTGAGGGAGGTGATTTAGGGTATCTGGTGATTAAAATTTCTCAGCAGCAAAGCATTCAAGAGGCAACTTGGGTGACATTAAAAGCATTCACTCTTAAAAAGGAAAACAGAGCATGAAATTTCAGAGAATTTGCAGCCTGATTGCATTAGAAAAGAAAACCCCACTTTCTGAGGAAAAATTTAAGCTGGCTGCAGAAATTTGCATAAGTAACAGGGAACCAAATGTTAGTCACCAAGACAATGGGGAAATTGTCTCCAGGGCATGTCAGAGGTCTTCATGGCAGCCCCTTCCATCACAGGCCCAGAGGAGAAGGTGTAGGAAGAAAAAGTGGTTTCCTGGGCCAGGCCCATGGCCCCCTTGCTGTGTGCAGTCTAGGGACTTGGTGCCCTGCATCCCAGCCACTCTAGCCATGCCTAAAAGGGGCCAAGCTACAGCTTGGGCTGTGGCTTCAGAGGGTGCAAACCTCAAGCCTTGGCAGCTTCCATGTAGTGTTGAGCCTGCGGGTGCACAGAAGTCAAGAATTGAGGTTTGGGAACCTCCACCTAGATTTCACAGGATGTATGGAAACACCTGTCAGGCAGAGGTTTGCTGCAGGGATGAGGCACTCATAAAGAACCTGTGCAAGGGCAGTGTGGAAGGGAAATACAGGGTCACAGACCCACACAGAATTCCCACTGGGGCACTGCCCAGTGGAGCTGTGAGAAGAGGGCCACCATCCTCCAGATCCCAGAATGGTAGGTCCACCTACAACTTGTACTGTGTGCCTGAAAAAGGCGCAGACAGTAAACATCAGCATGTGAAAGCAGCCAGGAGGGGGCTGTACCCTACAAAGCCACAGGGGAGGAGCTGCCCAAGACCATGGCAACTCACCTCTTGCATCAGTGTGACCTGGATGTGAGACATGGAATCAAAGGAGATTATTTTAGAGGTTTAAGATTTGACGACTGCCCAGCTGGATTTCAGACTTGCATGGGGCTTGTAGTCCATTTGTTTTGGCCAATTTCTCCCATTTGGAAAAACTGTATTTACCCAATACCTGTACCCCCATTGTATCTAGGAAGTAACTAGCTTGCTTTTGATTTTACAGGTTCATAGACAGAAGGGATTTGCCTTGTTGCAGATGAGACTTTGGACTGTGGACTTTTGGGTTATTGTTAAAATGAGTTAAGACATTGAGGGACTGTTGGGAAGGCATGATTGGCTTTGAAATGTGAAGACATGAGATTTGCGAGGGGCCAGGGGTGGAATGATATGGTTTGGCTGTGTCTCCACCCAAATATCATCTTGAATTGTAACACCCACAATTCCCATGTGTCATGAGACAGACTCAGTGGGAGGTAATTGAATAATAGGAGCAGGGGAGGTCTTTTTTGTACTGTTCTTGTGATAGTGACTAAGTCTCACAATATCTGATCATTTTATAAAGAGAAGTTTCCCTGCACAAGCTCTCTTTCTTTGCCTGTCCCCATCCGTGTAAGATGTGGCTTGCTCCTCTTTGCCTTCCACCATAATTGTGAGGCCTCCCCAGCCATGTGGAACTGTTAGCCATCAAACCTCTTTTTCTTCCCAGTCTTGGGTATGTCTTTATCAGCAGCATAAAAATGGACTAATACATTGTGTTCAAGCAATATATTATCACAAGGGTTGAAACACTCCAGCCCACTGGCTAAATAGAACCATCCACCCATTTTTGAAAAATTGGCAATATTTATTGATTTACATACTGTCTATGGCTGCTTCTGTGCTACAACAGCAGACTTGATAATTTGGTTTGCCTGTGTCCCCACCCAAATCTCATCTTGTTCCCATAATTTATACATGTTGTGAGAGGGACCTGGTGGCACATAATTGAATCATGGAGTGGTTCCCCCATACTGTTCTCATGGTAGTGAATAAGTCTCATGAAATCTGATGGTTTTACTAGGGAAAACCCCTTCACTTCACCCTTATTCTCTCTTGCCACACCATGTAAGACATGCCTTTTACCTTCCACCATGATTGTGAGGAGTCCCAAGCCACATGGAACTGAGTCCATTAAACCTCTTTTTCTTTATAAATCACCCAGTCTTGCATAGGTCTTTATCAGCAGCATGAAAATGGACTAATACAGTAAACTGATACTGGTAGAGTGAGGTGCTGCTGTAAAGATACCTGAAAATGTGAGAGCAACTTTGTAACGGGGTAACAGGCAGAGGTTGAAAGAGTTCAGAGGGCTCAGAATAAGATAAGAAAATGTGGGAAAGTTTGGAACTGGCTAGAGACTTGTTGAATCACTTTGAACAAAATGCTGATAATGATATAGACAACGAAATCCAAGCTGAAGTGGTCTCAGATGGAGATGAGGAACTTTTTGGGGACTGGAGTAAAAGTGACTCTTGCTATGTTTCAGCAAAGACACTGGTGACATTTTGCCCTGCCCTAGAGATCTGTGGAAATTTGAAGTTAAGGGAGGGAGATGTTTTAGGGTATCTGGTGAACGAAATTTCTAAGCATCAAAGCATTTCAGAGGTAACTCAGGTGCTGTTAAAGGCATACTGTTTTAAAAGGAAAACAGAACATAAAAGTTCAGAAAATTTGCAACCTGATGATGCAGTAGAAAAGAAAAATCGATTTTCTTAGAAGGAATTCTGGCCAGCTGCAGAAATGTGCCTAAGTAACAGGGAACCAAATGTTCATCACCAAGACACTGAGGAAAATGTCTCCAGGGCATGTCAGAGATTTTCACAACAGCCCCTCTCATCACAGGTCCAGAGGCATAGAAGGAAAAAATTATTTCCTGGGCCAAGCCCAGGGTCCCCCTGCTGTGTACAGCATAGGGGCTTGGTGCCCTGTGTCCCAGCCACTCTGGCTAAAAGGGGCCAGCTTATAACTGGAGCCATGGTTTCAGAGGGTACAAGCTCCAAACCTTGCCAGCTTCCACATGGTGTTGAGCCTGCAAGTACACAGAAGTCAAGAATTGAGGTTTGAAAACCTCCTCCTAGATTTCAAAGGATGTATGGAAATGCCTGGATGTCCAGGCAGAAGTATGCTGCAGGGAAGGGGCCCTCATGGAGAATTTCAGCTAAGGCAGTGCAGCAGGGAAATGTGGAGTGGGCACCCCCACAGAGTCCCCACTGGGGCATTGCCCAGTGGAGTTGTGAGAAGAAGGCCACTATCCTCCAGACCCCAGAATGGTAGATCCACCAATAGCCTGCACCATGCACCTGAGAAAGCCATGGACACTCAACACCAGCTTGTGAAAGCAGACAGGAGGAAGACTGTACCCTGCAAAACCACAGGGGTGGGGCTGCCCAAGATCACAGAAACCCACCTCTTGCATCAGCATGAACTGGATTCAAGACCAGGAGTCAAAGCAGATCATTTAGGAGCTTTAAGATTTGACGGCCCAGCTGGATTTTAGACTTGCATGGGCCCTGTAGCCCCTTTGTTTTGGTCAATTTCTCCTATTTGGAACAACCGTATTTACCCAATGCCTGTACCCCATTGTATCTAGGAGGTAACTAACTTGCTTGTGATTTTATAGGCTCATAAGCAGAAGGGACTTGCCTTGTCTCAGATGAGACTCTGGACTGTGGACTTTTGGGTTAATGCTGAAATGAGTTAAGACTGTGGGGGACTGTTGGGAAGGCATGATTGGTTTTGAAATGTGAAATGAGATTTGGGAGCAGCTGAGGTGGAATGATATGGTTTGGCTCTGTCTCCACCCAAATTTCATCTTAATTTTAGCTCCCATAATTCCCATGTGCTGTGGGAGGGACCTGGTGGCACATAATTGAATTATGGCAGTGGTTTTCTCCATACTGTTCTTGTGGTAGTGAATAAGTCTCACAAGATCTGATGGTTTTATAAGGGGAAATCTCTTTCACTTTGCCATCATTCTCTCTTGCTACTGCCATGTAAGACATACCTTTCACCCTCCACCATGACTGTGAGGCCTCCCCAGCCACATGGAACTGTGAGTCCATTAAACCTCTTTTTCTTTATAAATTACCCAGGGTCAGGTATGTCTTTATCAGCAGCATGAAAATGGACTAATATAGTTGAGTAGTTATGACAGAAATCATATGACCTACAAAGCCTAAAATATTTACTACCTGACTCTTTAGAAAAAGTTTGCTGACTGTTTGATTCGTATATATCTATTTTGAAAAGATCACTGTATTAGAAATATAAAGAAATATCAATTGCTAGTGGAGAAGCAAGAGGTCACACATACAGACCAATTAGGAGACTGTGGTAGGTAAGGGATGATAAAGAACTGGATTAGGTTGGTAACAATAGATATGGAATTATGTGAAAAATAAGGTGACATCAACTGAACCTGGTGATGAAGTGCAAATGGAGAATAAGTGAAAATAAGGAGTTGAGGATGTTTTCTAGGTTTTTCTTTGGAAAAATGTAATAGATGGAGGTGATAAGATTAGTTTGGAGATGTCGGGTTTGAAGGGTCTGTGAAATATGCAAATAGAGATATTGAGACAGCAGTGGAATACATGGCCCTGCATTTCCAGGGATAGACAGATCTAGGCTGGGAGTCAAACATCAATGAAAATTAAATATATAAGAATAGCTGAAAATCCAGGAAAAGTGTGTAGAGGGAGAAATAGGCAAAAGACCAGAATAACTTCACACTCAATAAGATTTTATTAATCTCCATGTGTTTGCATGAAATGCATATTTTGATGGGGTCAAGTTCTCGATTAAATGCTACTTTAGAAATCTGAAAATCCAACTTTTCACATACCTTACACTTCACTTGTTCATTCTTATCCCACTATGTTACGGCATGACTGTTCACTGAAATAAACTCAAACTGCATTAAAATAGTTTATAATTAAGATCATCTTCATTTCAGTTACTCTAAATTAGTGTGAGTCAGTGTTTTACTCCTATAATTTATCTCACTAATTTTGAGAGTTTTACCCTGCAATATGATAGCTATTGTTTCTTTAATGCTCACTCTCTATTCAGGCCCCTATCAAAGCAGTATGCAATCTGGTCTCTGTATCCATGGACTTTGCATCTGTGAATTCAACAAAACATTGATTGAAAATATTTAGGGAGAAAAAAATGGATAGTTGCTTTGTACTGAACATGTACAGGATTTTTTTTATTATTTCCTAAACAATTCAGTACAACAATTATTTACACAGCATTTACATTGTATTAGGTATTGTAAATAATCTAGAGATGATTCATGGTGTATAGAAAGATGTGCATAGGTTATATGAAAGTACTACACCAATGTATATATAAGGGCCTGAATATCTGTGAGTTTTGATATCCATGGGAAGTCCTAGAACCAATCCCCTGTGGATATTGATGGATGGCTGTATATATGGCTGTCATTTTATCCTAAATGACAGCCATATGGGGAGACTGAGGCTTGGAGAACTTGTTGAGGTAAAACATTTTGTAAGTGGTAGATCTCTAGTACCCTACCTCCAGAATCTTTACTCTTAACCTATCAGATACACAACCTCACTTCATTCACTTCCTCTAAGTCCTGTGCCTTCAATGTATTTACACCTTTAAGTGTGTCTTACAGAATTATTATAATGAAATATATATTCATTGTTGTGTGACAGAAATCATACAAGGCTAAGAGTGAAAAATCCAAATTTCAGAATAGTTTGTGATACATGCTTTGAACAATGATTTAATATTCCTGAACTTGCTTTCTAATATGTTAGAATATGTTAAAAATATGACTGACCTATCTTAATTAGAGGGTGTTTGAGATTAGGCATATGAAAAACAGTATATATGTGGAGGCACTCTGAAAATATGTATCATTGTTAAAATATTTATGCAAAATTGGTATTTTTTATGGACCTATCTCTGACGCAGGAGAATCAAGGCCTGGGAAAGAAAGATTAATCCATTTATGCCTGAGGTGGCAATTTTTTGAATTTTTGCAATCAGACCTTGGTGATGACCTTGAGCAGTAGGATATAAATAACTTCCACATTCTTTGCGTTCCAATAATGGAACACTAGGCATATTAAGCAGCTGGCACGCAATTTATTTCTCTCTTCTTTCCAGAAGAAAACTTTGAAGAAAGAAAGAAAACAAGTGGCACAATCCAATCTTTTAAACATGCTGAAAACAGACCTTGTGTAATAAACTAATATTTTCTAGCATGATAGTTCTTATTGATATAATACTCTTAGCAAATGACCCTGGTCTAGGAGTGCTTATGATAATCAAACCAGGAATACGTGAATTTGTGGTACATGGTTCTCTGCAAAATGTCATGGAAGCCATGTAAATATATTAATGTATAAAATGGAGATATTTCATAATCTAGATCAGCAGTGGACAAGCATTTTCTGTAAAGAAGCAGGTGGTATTTTCAGTTTTGTAGGTCATCCAGTCTCTGTCACAAATATCAGTTCTGCCACTGTAGTGCCAAATATGTCATACATTATAAGGAAACAAACCAATGTGGCTGTGTTTGAATAAAACTTTATTTACAAAAAGAGGCAGTGGGCTGGATTTGGCTAAAATCCAAAAATTTGAGTTTTCTTGGATAAAGAAAATGTGGTACACATACACCATGAAATACTATGCAGCCATAAAAAGAATGAGTTCATGTCCTCTACAGCAACATGGATAGAGCTGGAGGGCATTATTATAAGTAAATTAACATAGGAACAGAAAATCAAATACCGCAGGTTCTCATTTATAAGTGGGAGTTAAATACTGAGTACACATGAACACAGAGAAGGAATAATAGACTCTGGGGTTTACTTGAGAGTGGAAGGTGAGAGGAAGGTAAGGATTACAAAGCTACCTATTGAGTACTATGCTTATTACCTGGGTGATGAAATAATCTGTACACTAAATCCCCAGGACATGCAATTTACCCATATAACAAACATGCACATGTATCCTCTTGAATGTAAAACAAAATTTGGAATAAAAAAATTTAAAAAGTTTAAATTTTTGTTTAAATTAAAGAAAACACAACAGGCCTACTGATACTAATAGTCACGTTCATGACAAGTATTGTATAGTGTATAAAGCCATTGATCAAATGAGTTTCATTTAAAGAGATTTATAATTTAATAATCTAATGGCAAATAAATGAAATCTTCTATTTTAGTAGAATACAGGATCTTTTACTAAATTATATTTTTAAGAGCTACAGCACCCTCTTGATAATGTCCTTTCAAGAACTGGTAGCAAATTAGAGAACATTTCACTATATCACATAATTCTAAATGAATGATCATATATAAATATGAGATTTCTGATTGAAGCAGATTCATTTAAAATATGTAGGTCCTATAAGATGCACTTGAGATTTAGTCATAAATCATAGATGATATCTATATCATGGAAACAAAATAATGCTAGCATGCATCTGAAATATTCTTTTAACAGACACTATTAACCTGTTATAATTTGTGGGAGAAATCATTCTCCTTCTCCAGTCTTCATCAGCAGGGAGGGAAGAATGAATCTAAAGTGCTATGGTCTGAGCATCCAGCATGATCATCTTTAGTTACTTATTCATAAAGCTTATTTACACAGTAATCATGGTTTTCTATTTAATAACTCCTAAATTTAAAAAAAAAACTTTAAAATCAAAGGAGGTATATTTGTGTAGTCTAAAGAAAATATGAGCTGCTGCAATTTTTGTAATGAGGAAAACAGGAAGACATCTGGCAATGCATTCCAGCCTTAGGAGAATACCCCAGCATATATTTTTGAATCAATATGAGCTAAGTACATTATTAAGGCCCTTTATGAATCAACCACATACTTTATGTTAACTCTAGAGTTAACAGGGAAAGCAAATTCCTGCTAAAAGGCAATACAACTATAACAAAGCTTCTACTTCTAATTATAGCTCAAACAAAACCTTTACTTTTAAATTTAAAAATCATAATTATTAAATGTTTTCTGACAAAACCCTGGTAAAACACCCTCATTTCTGAAATGAAAACACATGAAAAACATTATGTTAAACTTTTGTCATTTTGATTCATGCTCATACTCAAAGTTTGTATTGAAATTGCTGGCAAAATCAACATGGGCTCAATGGAGACAATTGATGTGATAATTATCATCCATTATGGATTTAAAAATGCAGTAACAGGAAATATGAAATATTCTATCTGAGAAGGAAAGTTTATTGGTAGAGTTCATAGCTCCAAAAATATTCCTGGTAAGGGGTAAAAGTAGTCAGTCATATATTCTCCTGTTCAGTTACAGTTTTCCAGTTCCGTAACAGAAATGTGTAGCTGTTCCAGTATTATGGTCTAGATTAACTAGACTAATTTTATCAGACCTTAGTCTTGTAGATAAAAACAGGTTCTTGTCACATGACCAGAAAAGATTAGGCTCACAGACACACAGGAAGGCGAGGAGTGAAATTTATTGGGCCGAAAGGAAAAACAACTCAGCAAAATGAGATGAAGCCTTGCTAACAGGCTCTCCACCTCACTGATTGAATCCCAGGTCCCCACCCAGGAACAGGAGAGGCCAGGGCCCTCTCCCCCTGCAAATGACATGAACTTCCTGAGGCTCCATCCTAGTCCTCCCAGTGCACAGGCCAGTTGGAGATTCTCTGGGGAGCCCTTTTTACTTGGCTGTCTCATTAGCATTTTATTTTTTCAAAAATATGAATCCCACATTAACTTATAAGAAAAATTATTGTCAAAGTATTTTCTCTATTTCTCAAAATTAGTATTTTAAGGGAGCTGCCAGGTGTTTAAATTATTAGAAAATAGGGGTTCAGTTATGGTTAGAATGGGGTAGATTAGGCAAGAAAGAGTAGAAAAGCAGCCATATATAACCACTTCACTCTTTATCAACTAAGATATTTTCCAAGAGAAAATAGTCACCAGAGACTTGCAATACGGTTAGAGTATTTTCCTTAATGGTTTCAGGTGTCTGGACAAGACTAAAATAGTAATTTTTTTTTCTAGTAAACTAGCACAGGTACAGAAGCAGAAAAGAATTTGGAAGGGATTTTTTAAAATCTCTCTTTCTTAGCAAATAAGAATCTTTTCTTTCTCAGGAAAAAATATTAACTTTGTATACATAGCTCCAGGCAGAGAACTGCTATGAATGTCACCTCCCTTCTAGTGTAGCCAGCACTTATTCTCTTCAGTTAGAGCCTGAGCTTGTTATATCTATAATTGTATTTAAGATGACTACATTTAAAAAGATTAGGAAACAAAAAAAGGGATTTGCACATAAGAGTACTTAAATAATAATTTACAATACTGTTTTTTCTTTACTTTTGAAATTTCATTTTACATTAAATCATATATGATTTATATAACTTATGAATTTACATTTTCCACATTTCAAGATAATGCCTTTGGTATTGTTGCAAACTGATAATATTTGATTTGGCCATTTATACTGTTAAGTTCCTTTTAGCATATTTATTGCATCCAATAATAAAAGATGTGTAGATGTTCCAATATGACATTCACCAATAACAAGGACAACAAGTTATGTGAAAAGGATTTTCATGTAAACTGATATAAAAATAGTCCCGTTCTGCAAACTCAATGCATTCCCAATAATCTTTCCTTCTAAGCACTGAGACAATTATCTTGCATGAAAGATGTAGTAAAAGCAGAGGTAGAATTGTTCCACTGTCAGGATTAAGTCAGGTGACAGCATCCTGTGTAGACCACTGAACAGAGAACTAGAATCTTAACCAGCACCAGAATCATTCCTACGGAACAAATTCAAACAATTTCTCCATCCATTATGCTAATTAATAAGCCCATTGACACTGACTGCAGATAAACATCATCAAAAATTTTGGTTCAGAACACCTCTGAATTGCTGAACTTTGAAGAGCATCTAACACTCTACCAAAGATTTTGTATTCCAAATTAGGGAACATTAGGGGCTAACTAACCATTGCAAGGGTATAAATTAAAATTAACAAATTGAGATGTTTAAAAATAATTACAGACAAGTTAGCAAGAACTTAGAATGCAGAGAAACTCAAATCATCATGAAAATGAATGCTTTGCATCCAGAGTACCTATTCGACCCCAATAATGTTGGATAAATGGCTTTTTTTATTTATTTTTATTTATTTTTAATTTTTTTATTATACTTTAAGTTTTAGGGTACATGTGCACAATGTGCAGGTTTGTTACATATGTATACATGGGCCGTGTTGGTGTACTGCACCCATTAACTCGTCATTTAACATTAGGTATATCTTCTAATGCTATCCCTCCCCCCTCCCCCCACCCCACAACAAGCCCCAGTGTGTGATGTTCCCCTTCCTGTGTCCATGTGTTCTCATTGTTCAATTCCCACCTATGAGTGAGAACATGTGGTGTTTGGTTTTTTTGTCCTTGCAATAGTTTGCTGAGAATGATGGTTTCCAGCTTCATCCATGTCCCTACAAAGGACGTGAACTCATCATTTTTTTATGGCTGCATAGTATTCCATGGTGTATATGTGCCACATTTTCTTAATCCGGTCTATCATTGTTGGACATTTGGGTTGGTTCCAAGTCTTTGCTATTGTGAATAGTGCCACAATAAACATATGTGTGCATGTGTCTTTATAGCAGCATGATTTATAATCCTTTGGGTATATACCTAGTAATGAGATGGCTGGGTCAAATGGTATTTCTAGTTCTAGATCCCTGAGGAATTGCCACACTGACTTCCACAATGGTCGAACTACTTTACAGTCCCACCAACAGTGTAAAAGTGTTCTTATTTCTCCACATCCTCTCCAGCACCTGTTGTTTCCTGACTTTTTAATGATTGCCATTCTAACTGGTGTGAGATGGTATCTCAATATAGTTTTTGATTTGCATTTCTCCGATGGCCAGTGATGATGAGCATTTTTTCATGTGTCTTTTGGCTGCATAAATATCTTCTTTTGAGAAGTGTCTGTTCATATCCTTTGATAAAGGGGATATCACTACCGATCCCACAGAAATACAAACTACCATCAGAGAATACTATAAATACCTCTATGCAAATAAACTAGAAAATCTAGAAGAAATGCATAAATTCCTCAACACATACACCCTCCCAAGACTAAACCAGGAAGAAGATGGCTTTATTAAATAAAGGTCTTGTGAAGTGTATTAGATTACCAGGCACATTCATTAATAGTTATATTTTATGTTCATGTATGTGACTGATGATTTGTTTCCCTCCAATGTCAGAATTTCTATAATCTTAGTTCAATTAAAAAAATTAAAGAGGTGGTGTTACATGGTTATTGTGAACTAGGCAGGAAGACATGATAAAAGATTGTCAGAAAAAACAACTTGAAAAATGTATATTCTGGCTGAAAAACGAAGCTTCATCTGAAATGCATACAAATTTACTCAACAATCAAGATATTTTATTCTGTGTCACTACCTTTGTGTAGTTGATATTACAAAAATTAAGTGCATAAACATTTAAGTGTCCTGAAAACAATGTGAACTGAACTGAAATATATGACAGAGTTAGGTCAAATTCAGACAGAATATAGAGAATTATTTCTCACCTTCTGTGACAGAATTTGAAATTTTAAAATATTTACGGTATTAAGGGTTTTTTTAAAGAAAGCCATAAAAACGACAACATTGGTGATAGAGAGAGGGACACAAAAATAGAGTAAAAAATACCTATTATCCAAATGTATTCCAATCTACTAATAGTAGGCCACGTATAATGAAGAAAAACTGACAACTTTAACTGTGTGTCTCAAAGCCTGATTTAACTAGATCAGAATTTGATAAAGATTTGTTATTCTATGATTATACTTTTTTGCCAAATTATGGGATCATATATAGGCAGAAGAAATAGTAATACTTTCTGTACATTCTTGAAAAATAATCTTTTCTTTTTCCTTTTATATGACAAACTTCTGAGAGGTTTGTGACAACATCATCTCAGAAATACAAAATCTTCAGAGGATTTCATTATGTATAACTTAGAAGTAAATTCAATTTAGGTATCATTAAACCATGCAAATCAATTATCTAAAGTACTTTAATGATCTTTGATCACTGCCTAGTGATTCCAGATAATTAGTCATAAGCTTTTCTTGGATCCCAAGTACTAAACAGAGGTGGTTTAGCCTAAAGGGAAGGCAAAATAGGGAGTAACTGTTCAGCAGGTATAAAGTTTCAATTATATAAGATAAACAAGTTCCAGATATCTGCTGTACAACACTGTGCCTAAAAATTTTTAAGTGCACAATACAGTATTGTTAAGAGGGTAGATTTCATGTTAAGTCCTTTTACTATTAATACAATAATAATGACAAGAGAATCTGAACATTCTAACTGGATCAATGGCAAAATCAAGATCGTGGCACTGGAGACTCAAATTCAGTGACTCTTAAAGTTCCTGTGTGTTTGAAATAATCAAAAATAAGCTTGGATTTGTGTTATACTAGCTTTTTATAATATAAAGGGGATCTATTTTGTTAATAACAATACTCTGAATATGTGTTTCTTCTAAGTATTTTTGTTTCTTCACATTCATTAGTTTCATTTTCATTACCTTTATGTCTAATTAATGTACATATTTGCATCTGTGACCAAGAGTTATTGTGTTTTAAATAGAACAGATTTTTAAGCCAAGAAATAACATATTTGGAGATAGTTTTGATGATTATGACTAAAAGAGTTCAGTGTGAATTGATTGTCTGACATCGTTTAAGAAGAACCCCTGATTATTTTAAAGCTGAGCTGAAATATGGATGTTGCTCTATTCTAGAGTTGTTCTCATGAAGTGTCCACTAGATTACTAGTTATTTATAATACAAAACAAGAGTGTTAAATAGGCATATAGCATATCCACTTAGTACATCTAACTTCAGGTAGATGATGCAAAAGTGGATGTTAATGTAACATTTACTATAATAAATATAGAATAAAAATAAACATTCTTTTCAGTAAAAAAGCAACAAAATTATATTTGATATAATATATATGTATATGTATATTTAAAAGTGAGAAAATAAAACCTGCACCTAGGGATTTATTTGTTATAACCCACCA
Organism: Homo sapiens; assembly: GCF_000001405.40. Classification (NCBI taxonomy): domain Eukaryota; kingdom Metazoa; phylum Chordata; class Mammalia; order Primates; family Hominidae; genus Homo; species Homo sapiens. The sequence goes on from NC_000006.12 coordinate 49,140,104, forward strand.
TCCTATCAGTTAATTTCTTAGTCAAAGCTGTCCTATTTATAAAGTGCAGATGACTAAACAAAGAAAGAAACAAATAGAAATCACAGGAGATAATACTGTCTCTCCTTTTGTGCTGCTGCTTAACATCTACATTAGGCATGAACATCTTCATGTTTATCTGTTTTATATAAAGGGGTTCTCCATGAAATTCTCAATGGCATACAAAGTATTTTATGAGTCACTACTATGGTGCTATATCTTATCTCTTGATTTTGTTCAAAAGCCAAAAACTATACATAGTCCCCTTGGATGATTTCCTTTGTCATAAATTATTTTTAAAGTTATTTTACTATTTATTTATTCATTTACTTAACATTTATTGAGCTTCAATTATAACAGAGGTTATCTGATATTTTGCATTCAATGAGTCCTGAGTCCTACCTAATTGCTTTCTCCCTTCCCTAGCAAAGATTTTAAAACTTTTCCAATTCTACAATCAGGGCCTTGAGTAATAACAATCAGAATCTTCTACCACCTTCTCTGTGCACATGCATTCTTTTGTTTTTTGCTTTTTATTTTAAAATCGTTTTAGGCATAGGAAAAAAATGGCAAAAATAGAGATAATTCCCAGATACTCTTAACCCATTCTAATACTAACATTCTATATAACCATAATATAATATTCAGAAGTAAGTAATTAACATAAATGACACTATTGTTAACTAAACTACAGACCTTATTTGAATTTCATACAATATCCTTTTTCTGTTTCAGGATCAATTCAGGATCATACACTGCAGTTAGTTGTCATGTCTTCTTAGTCTGCCTTAGGCTGTTACACTTCCTATGTCTTTTCTTCCCTTTTATAACCTTGACACGTTTGAAGATTGTTGGTCAGTTATTTTGTAGAATGTTTCTCAGTTTGGGTTTTCAAATATTTTCTCATGATTAGTTTGAAGTGATATATTTTTTACAAGAATAATATAGAAGCAATGTGCTCTTCTCTGTGAATCACATCAGAAGCACATAATGTCAATGTCTTATTACTGCTGATGTTACCCTGGATCACTTGAAGATTTTTTGCTTCTTTGCCTGCAACTTACTATTTTTCCCTTTGTAAGTAACAAATACCTTGGGGGAGATACTTTGAGAATATGCAAATATACTTTTCCTTCTTAAACTTTTATCCTCAAATTTAACATCCATTGGTAGATTTTGTCTGCAGCAATTACTACTGTGGTGTTTGCTTAATGATGATTCTCTCTCTCTCTCTCTCTCAAGACAGAGCCTCATTCCGTCTCCCAGGCTGGAATGCAGTGGCACAATCTCAGCTCACTGCAGCCTCGACTTCCCAGGCTCAAGTGACCCTCCTGCTTCAGCCTCACGAGTAGCTTGGACTACAGGCACGTGCCACCACATCCAGCTAATTTTTGTATTTTTTGTAGAGATGAGTTTCGCCCTGATGCCCAGGCTGGTCTCAAACTCCTGAGCTCAAGTGATCCACCCCTCTTCGGCCTCCCAAAGTGTACAGGTGTAAGCCAGCACACCAGGCCTTTTCTCTTTTTTTTACTTGTATTATTTGCCTGTAAAGAAGAGCTGTCCCTTCTTCCCCATTTATTTATTCAATTATTTATAACAGTTTTAATTCATAAATATTAAATTTATTCTGTGGGGCATATTCCAACATTACCATTGTTTTGTGACCCAAATTGTTCCACCTTTGGATCTTAGGAGCTTTTTTAGGTTAGTTCCTTTTGAGATGCTCCCGTCCTCTTTGAGCACATCTCACTTTTTGGCACCACAATATATTCCAGGCTTATTTTATATTTTCCTGCTCTGATTTTCCTAGAATTAACTACTTCTTCAAGAATCCTCGATTCCTTTTATGGGGGAACAGTGATTACAAACCGAGATCTGGGTGCTATGTGTGTTCATTGCTACTGCAGTATAATTGTTACTAGCTCCCCTTCATGAACAAAACTTGAAAATATACCTTTGTATAACAAAACATGTACACACACATCTTTATTTCTTTACCTGTGTGTATGTGTGTGTATGCATATGTGTATATGTCCGTGAGTTTTCACTAATACATTGGATTCTAATTCAACACAGCATAGATCATTTAGGCTTCTCCTTCTTTTCCTTATTCCAACTTCATCTGAAAATTCAGATTCATCATTCACCACCAGTGAAACTTAGCTATCATTATCTACAATACCTTTACTTATTTGTGTAACTTAGGATATAAGTAAAGTAGTTTCAGAATTGCTAATCATACCACTGGGAAAAGAAATTTATTGACGGGATTACAGTGCTTCCATACGGATCTTTTTTTCCTTAGTCTCACAGTAGCTAGTAACCAGTTAAGATATAATTTTCAGATTTACTTAGCCTATTTTTTTTCTTCCCTAGCCCCTGCGGTTTATTTGCCTTAGGGCTTCATCCTGAAGTCAAATCCTGTGCTATTTAATTTCAGGTTGGTTCAAGTACCCTGCTGTTCTCCAACAGGGACAGCCTTTATGTGAAAAGAGAAAAGCTGAGGGGATCCTCACCAGAGGCCCCTGGTGCTGCTTTAATAACAACTGTAGCTACCAGGTTGCCTTCAGCGTCTTGGCAGAAATTTTTCTTATGGATGGTGAGCTGCAGGTGGGCTTGATAAGAAGAATGTAAATGTTTCTAAGAATTCATATTTCTTTACCTAGAAACTACTCCTTCACTACAGTTGTAGTTAAATCTCGGGATATTCTCTCTCAAAGACAATGCCCTTTCTGTATTGATTTCTGTGAGCCTGTCTTATCTTTTTAGATGCAAATTCCTCCCTAAATGACAGCTTTGCCCTGAAACCTACCCTTTATATGAGGATGCTCAGTGAATACCTGTCAGTAACTACCGTGCCTCTGAGCACGCCTGGCCAACTAACTAAATCTTCCTACTGAGCAGTGTTTCTGCAGCTTGAGCTCAGGTGTATCTTTTCTAAGTATCTGAATATGCTTGCTGCTCACCAGGCTCGATTTCAGCTTCGGTTCTCTTTCTGTCTTGCTTGCATAGGCTTTCCACCCCTTGTGAATTTTAAAACTAGTTGCATCTACAATGAAATAAGAGCATCACCCTCCTGCTCACTGGCAAAAACCTTTGAAAATAACTTTCAAAGGTTATTGAAACTATTCAAAATAATCAAACTTTATTTCTTAACTTCCCCAATTCCCTCATCCTAGGTGATATGAGGAAGTAATTTTAAAGCTGAGTTAGCTGCAACCATGAGCAAACAAAGAGGCTTGAGATGAAATCCAGTAATCACAGAGAGTCAGTGCAGATGGAGCATCCCTGGTAGGAAGAGCCCTGAGGACCCTATGCACTAATATTCTGTTAATAGCTACATTGAGGGCAGCTCTGAAAGAAAAATCATGAGAGTGTGGCACATGACCATCTGTTGAATAAAAAAGAGGACATGATCATATCTGCTCATTGATGAAACTCCTTCCTGATAGAATGAAGTGGTGAATACCATCATCTCCTCTTCCAACACTAGTGTTTTTCCTGAGTTTCTGTATTAAGCTCCTTGATTTTGGGAGGAAAGGGAGGCCTTCCTCCTACCAGCTAGGATCCAGAGAAAGCATCTCATCTATAGTGTCTCATGGAAGGTTCTGAGTTGATAAGAGACTCCTCTGTTATCCATGAAACAGAGGAAGGGCACTTCATCAAGTCTTTGCTGTAGGCTTTCTCTTTGACTCATTTGCCAATTTATACTTATGAGTCTGAAGATTATTTTTTTAATGCCTGTCCTTGATATTTACCTATGTCATCAATTCTAATACACATTTTATTCACATTTTAACGTCTCTAAAATCTAGATAAATGTGCAAGTCAATGCCATTTTTCTTTCAAGAGGTATGTAAAATAAGGATGTATGTCAAAATAAAGTCATTTTACCTTTGAAGAGGTACAATAGCCTATTCAATATGCTCTCTTGGATGTATCAAAGGAAATTCAGACATAGTTGGTCCAGGATCAGCCTTATGATCCCCTCTTCAACTGTGATTATCCCCTTTCAGTATTTCTTCTCCCAGTTAATGGCACTACTATAACTCCAATCAGGCAAGCCCTAAATCTGTAAGTCATCCTTGACAGCTACCTCTTCCTCAGCCTTCACACCTATCCATCTCCTGTTACTAGCAGCTTTACCTGTTCAATACCTAATGTTGTCATTATTATTCCTAACCGTTTTAGTTTTAAAACCACTCTTTGTTTTAATCAACTGTATTGAGAATTAATCCACATTCATGCATTTGTTTTAAGTGTACAGATTGTTGAGTTTTGACAAATGCATGTAGTTATGTAACTGTTACCATGATCAAGATAAAGAACATGTCTCACCACTGAAAAGATAGCTTTAGATCTATAGATTATTTTTACCTTCTAGAATTTCATGTGAATAAAATCATATAGTATGGACCTTCCTTCCTTTCTTTCCTTTCTTTCCTTTCTTTTCTTTCTTTTCTTTCTTTCTTTCTCTTCTTTCTCTTCTTTCTCTTCTTTCTCTTCTTTCTTTCTTTCTTTCTTTCTTTCTTTCTTTCTTTCTTTCTTTCTTTCTTTCTTTCTTTCTTTCTTTCCTTCCTTCCTTCCTTCCTTCCTTCTTTCTTTCTTTCTCTCTTTGACAGAGTCTCACTCTGTCACCAGGCTGGAGTAGAGTGGCGTGACCTTGGCTCACTGCAACCTCTGCCTCCCAGGTTTAAGCGATTCCTGTGCCTCAGCCTCCTGAGTAGCTGGGACTACAGGTGTGTGCCACCACACCTATCTAATTTTTGTATTTTTAGTAGAGATGGGGTTTCACCATGTTGGCCAGGATGGTCTTGATCTCTTGACCTCGTGATCCGCCCACCTTGGTCTCCCAAGTGCTGGGATTACAGGCGTGAGCCACTGCTCCCAGCCTTGCACTTTTCTTTTTAAATTCTACTTTAATTTCCAGGATACAAGTGCAGAAATTGTAGGTTTGTTATATAGGTATACGTGTGCCATGGTGGTTTGCTGCACATATCAACCTGTCATCTAGGTATTAAGCCCTGCATGCATTAGCTATTTGTCCTAATGCTTTCCCTTCCCTTGCCCCCGACCCCTTGACTGGCCCCAGTATGTGTTGTTCCCCTCCCTGTGTTCATCTGTTCTCATTGTTTAATTCCCACTTATGAGTGATAACATGTGGGTTTAATTCCCACTTATGAGTGATAACATGTGGGTTTAATTCCCACTTATGAGTGATAACATGTGGTGTTTGAGTTTCTGTTCCTGTGTTAGTTTGCCCAGAATGATGGCTTCCAGCTTCTGCCATGTCCCTGCAAAGGACATGATCTAATTCCTTTTTATGGCTGCATAGTATTCCATGTTCTATATGTACCACATTTTTTTTTAATCCAGTCTTTCTTTGATGGGCTTTTGGGTTGGTTCCATGTCTTTACTATTGCAAATAGTGCTCCAATAAACATACATGTGCATGTGTTTTATAGGAGAATAATTTATATTTTGGGGGGATACATACCCAGTAATGGGATTGCTGGGTCAAATGGTATTTCTGGTTCTAGATATTTGAAGAATCACCACACTGTCTTCCACAATGGTTGAACTAATTTACATTCCCACCAACAGTGTAAAAGCATTCCTATTTCTCCACAGTCCCACCAGCATCCATTTTTTCTTGACTTTTTAATAATCACCATTCTGACTGAAATGAGATGGTATCTCACTGTGGTTTTGATTTGCATTTCTTTACTGATCAGTGATGTTGAGCTTTCTTTTCATATTTCTTGGCCGCATAAATATCTTCTTTTGAGAAGTGCATGTTCATATCCTTTGCCCACTTTTTGATGGAGTTGTTTTTTCTTGTAAATTTTTGTAAGTTCCTTGTAGATTCTGGATATTAGACCTTTGTCAGATGGGTAAAAATTGCAAAAGTGTTCTCCATTCTGTAGGTTGCCTGTTCACTCTGATGACCGTTGTTGTTTTTGCTGTTGTTTTTCCTGTGCAGAAGCTCTTTAGTTTAATTAGATTCCATTTGTCAATTTTGGCTTTTGTTGGCATTGCTTTTGGCATTTTAGTCATGAAGTCTTTGCCCCTGCCTATGTCCTGAATGGTATTGCTTAGGTTTTCTTCTAGGGTTTTTATGGTGTTGGGCTTTATGTTTAAGTCTTTAAACCATCTTGAATTAATTTTTGTATAAGGTGTAAGGAAGAGGTCCAGTTACAGTTTTCTGCATATGGCAAGCCAGTTTTCTCAGCATCATTTATTAAATAGAGAGTCATTTCCCTATTGCTTGTTTTTATCAGGATTGTTGAAAATCAGATGGTTGTAGATGTCTAGTCTTATTTCTGAAATCTCTGTTCTGTTCCATTGGTCTATACCTTGCTGCTTTGGTTACTGTTGCCTTGTAGTATAGTTTGAAGTCACATAGTGTGATGCCTCCAGCTTCGGTTCTTTTTTTTTTTTGTTCTGCTTAGGACTGTCTTGGCTATATGTGCTTTTTTTGGTTGCATATGAAATTTAAAGTAGTTTTTTTCTATTCTGTGAAGAATGTCAATGGTAGTTTGATGGGAATAGCATTGAATCTATAAATTACTTTGGGCAGTATGGCCATTTCCACAGTATTGATTCTTCCTATACATGAATATGAAATGTTTTTCCATTTGTCTGTGTCCTCTCTGATTCCCTTGAGCAGTGGTTTGTAGTTTTCATTGAAGAAGTCTTTCACATTCCTTGTTAGGTGTATTCCTAGGTATTTTATTCTCTTTGTAGCAGTTGTGAATGGGAGTTCGTTAATGATTTATCTCTCTACTTGTTTATTGTTGATGTATAGGAATGCCTGTGATTTTTGCATATTGATTTTGTATCCTGAGAGTTTGCTGAAGTTGCTTATCAGCTTAAGGAGTCTTAGGGCTGAGAAGATAGGGTTTTCTAAATATAGGATCATGTTGTCTACAAAGAGAGACAATTTGACTTTCTCTCTTCCTATTTGAATACACTTTATTCTTTTCTCTTGCCTGATTGCCCTGGCCAGAACTTCCAATACTATGTTGAATAACAGTGGGGAGAAAGGGCATCCTCGTCTTGTGCTGGTTTTCAAAGGGAATGCTTCCATCTTTTGCCCATTCAGTGTGATATTGGCTGTGGGTTTGTCATAAATAGCTCTTATTATTTTGAGATATGTTCCATCAATACCTAGCTTATTGAGGGTTTTTAACATGAAGGGATGTTGAATTTTATCAAAGGGCTTTTCTGCGTCTATTGAGATGATCATGTGGTTTTTGTCCTTGGTTCTGTTTATGTGATTGATTACATTTATTGATTTGCATATGTTGAACCAGCCTTGCATCCCAGGGATGAAGCTGACTTGATAGTGATGGATAAGGCTTTTGATGTGCTGCTGGATTTGGTTTGCCAGTATTTTATTGAGGATTTTCATATCGGTGTCCATCAGAGATATTGGCCTGAAGTTCTCTTTTTTGGTTGTGTCTCTGCCATATTTTGGTAGCAAGATGATGCTGGCCTCATAAAATTAGAGAGGAGTCCCTCCTTTTCAATTGTTGGAATAGTTTCAGAAGGAATGGTATCAGCTCCTTTTTGTACCTCTGGTAGAATTCAGCTGTGAATCCATCTGGTCCTGGGCTTTTTTTGGTTGGTATTCTATTAATTACTGCCTCAATTTTAGAAGTTGCTATTGGTCTATTCAAGGATTTGATTTCTTCCTGGTTTAGTCTTGGGAGGGTGTATGTATCTAGGGATTTATCCATTTCTTCTAGATTTTCTAGTTTATTTCCATAGAGGTTTTTATAGTATTCTCTGATGGTAGTTTGTATTTCTGTGAGGTCAGTAGTGATATCATCTTTATTACTTTTTATGGTGTTTATCTGATTCTTCTCTCTTTTCTTCTTTATTACTCTAGCTAGCAGTCTATTTTAATTCTTTCAAAACACAAGATCCTGGATTTATTGATTTTTAAAGGTTTTTCTGTGTCTGTTTCCTTCAGTTCTGCTCTGATCTTAGTTATTTCTTGTCTTTTGCTAGCTGTTAAATTTGATTGTGCTAGCTTTTTAATTGTGATGTTAGAGTGTCAATTTGAGATCTTTCTCACTTCCTGATGAGGACATTTATTGCTATAGAGTTCCCTCTTAACACTGCTTTAGCTGTGTTCCAGAGATGCTGATATGTTGTCTCTTTGTTCTCTTTGGTTTCAAATAACTTCTTGATTTTTGACTTAATTTCATTATTTACCCAGGATTCATTCAGGAGCAGGTTGTTCAATTTCCATGTAGTTGTGTGGTTTTTAGTGAGTTTCTTAATCTTAGTTCTAATTTGATTGGACCATAGTTTGAGAGACTGTTGTGATTTCTGTTCTTTTGCATTTGCTGAGGAGTATTTTACTTCCAATTATTTGGTCAATTTTAGAATAAGTGTCATGTGGCATTGAGAACAATGTATCTTCTGTTGATTTGGGGTGGAGAGTTCTGTAGATGTCTATTAGGTCTATTTGATCCAGAGCCAAGTTCAATGAATACCCTTGTTAATTTTCTGTCTTGTTGACCTGTCTAATACTGACAGTGGGGTGTTGAAGTCTCCCACTATTACTGTGTGGGAGTCTAAGTCTTTTTGGTGGCCTCTAATAACTTGTTTTATAAATCTGGGTGCTCCTTTATTGGGCGTGTATATATTTAAGAAAGTTAGCTCTTCTTGGTGAATTGATCCCTTTACCATTATGTAATGCCCTTCTTTGTCTCGTTTGATTTTTGTTGGTTTAATGTCTGTTTTGCCAGAGACTAGGATTGCATCTCCTACTTTTTCTTTGCTTTCCATTTGCTTGGTAAATATTCCTTCATCGTGTCTTGTAATTGGGTCATTTAGCCCATTTTCATTTAACATTAATATTGTTATTTGTGAATTTGATCCTGTAATCATTATGCTATCTGGCTATTTTGCACACTGGTTGATATAGCTTCTGCCTAGTGTCCTTGGTCTTTATATTTTGGTGTGTTTTTGCAGTGACTAGTACTGGTTTTTCCTTTCTATATTTAGTGCTTCCTTCAGGAGCTCTTGCAAGGCAGGCATGGTGGTGACGAAATCCCTCAGCATTTGCTTGTTTGGAAAGGATTTTATTTCTCCTTCACTTATGAAACTTAGTTTGGCTGGATATAAAATTCTGCATTGAAAATTCTTTTATTTAAGAATGTTGAATATTGACCCCCACTCTTTTCTGGCTTGTAGGGTTTCTGCTGAGAGGTCTGCTGTTAGTCTGATGAGCTTCCCTTTGTAGGTGAGCTGGCCTTTCTCTGTGGCTGCTCTTAACATTTTTTCCTTCATTTCGACCTTAGAAAATCTGATTATTATGTGTCTTGGGGTTGATCTTCTCTTGGAGTATCTTAGTGGTGGTCTCTGTATTTCCTGAATTTGCATGTTGTCTTGTCTTGCTAGGTTGGGGAAGTTCTCCTGGATAATATCCTGAAGTGTGTTTTCCAACTTGGTTCCATTCTCCCCATCTCTTTCAGGTACTCCAATCAATCATAAGTGTGATCTTTGTATACAGTCCTATATTTCTCAGAGGTTTTGTTCATTCCTTTTCATTCTTTTTTCTCTAATCTTGTCTGCATGTTTTATTTCAGCAAGATGGTCTTCAAACTCTGATATCCTTTCTTCTGCTTGGTCGATTAGGCTATTGATACTTTTGTATACTTCACGAAGTTCTCATGTTGTGTTTTTCAGCTCCATTGGGTCATTTACATTCCTCTCTAAACTGGTTATTCTAGTTAGCAGCTCCTGTAACCTTTCATCAAGGTTCTTAGCTTCCTTGCTTTGGGTTAGAACATGCTCCTTTAGCTCAATGGAGTTTGTCATTATTCACCTTCTGAAGTCTACTTCTGTCAATTTGTCCCTCTCATCCTCTGCCCATTTCTGCACCCTTGATGGAGAGGTGCTGCATACACTTGGAGGAGAAGAGGCACTCTGGCCATTTGGGTTTTCAGTGTTTTTCCGTTGATTCTTTCTCATCTTCATGAGTTTATCTAGTATCAATCTTTGAGGCTGCTGACCTTTGGATGGTATTTTTGTGGGGAATTTTTTGTTGATGTTGTCGTTGTTGCTTTCTGTTTGTTTTTCTTGCAATCATCAGATCCCTCTTCTATGGGGCTGCTGCAGTTTTCTGGGGGTTCATTTCAGGCCCTATTCATGTGGTTTGCTCCCACACCTGCATATGCACTCCAGAAGGCTGGAGAACAGCAAAGATGGGTGCTTATTCCTTCCTCTGGGATCTCTGACCTCGAGGGGCACCGATCTGATGCCAGTAGGAATGCTCCCCTATAGGGTGTCTGACAACCCCTGTTGGAGGGTTTCACCCAGGTGGGTGACCTGTTTAACAAATCACTTTGTCCTTTGGTGGATGGGGTATGCTTTGCTGAGGGGAAACCCACTGGTCTGGGCTGCCTGGATTCCTCAGAACTAGCAGGAGGAAAGACTAAGTCTGCTCATCCACGGAGTCTTCAGCCACCTCTGCCCCTAGATGTTCAGGACCAGGGAGATCAGAGTTCTGTCCCTGAGCCCCTGGCTGGAGTTGGAGTTTCTGCAGTGAGGCCCCACCCAGTGAAAAGTGATGGGTCAATGTCAGGCCTGAAGAGGCACTGTCCGCAGTCTGCCACAGCTGGTGTGTTGGGCTGTGAGGGATACCTCTTGGGACCAAACCTTCCAGCCTCCTTGGCTCCAGCCGGGGAAAAGTGTGGCCTGGAGCTATAGAGAGGCATGTCGCCCTTCCCCTGCCCTGGGAGCTTAGTGTGTTAGATAGTTATCTGTCCC